>NC_000006.12:14302424-14453939 GCF_000001405.40 Homo sapiens | reverse complement strand
AAATAGCTCTGGGCTGGCAGGCATTGCTTTGGGTCAGTCATACACAGAGTAGGTATATTTATCTGTAAGAGAAACTCTACTGATGCAATCCATGGTACACAAGTACCAAAGGCTGCGAGCGGTCACCGTTGATTTGTCAATGCTGTGGGCCCTGCCATTGGTCCCAGAGTTAGTGTCAGCCAGTGGTCCTTTGGGGTCTTCCCCTCACCTCACCTTAAATTTTTTGATTCACATTCCCTCTGCTTTGTTTGACTGCATGAAGGTGGGACAGATGCTGTGTTCGCAGGAGGGCACCAGTGTGCTTTTCTGTTTTCTCCCCTACTTCCCAATCATTCCATCTGAAAAGAATGCATGAAACCAGATTCTAAAGAACCAGCATGTCTTTTTAAACTTCCTGGCCACCTCTTAGTGGGTGGAGATCCCACAACAAAGCAGGAACTATCTAGAGTATAGATGTCCGGCCAACCTGCTCACGTGGCCCAAAGGTGAGACCTGAGCTCACGGTTGCTAGCCACTGAGCACCCAGGCCATGCTGAGCACAGGGCACCGCAGGGCAGAGACTTCTGAAGTTACAGCCTTGCCACTTAACGCGAGAAAGAGCTTCCCGAAGCCAGAAGCTCAACTATGTGCTGCTCAAGAATGGCATGCTGGTGGTGGCAGGCAGCCTACGGAGGAACAGAGAAACGATGTGGAGTAGCAGACCTGGCCTCAGTGTTACCTCCTTCTCCATAACTGTGGGACTGGCAAGGAGAAAAGAAAGTGGGGCAACAACCAGAAGAGCCCAAATGACTGCTTTTGTCCGGGCACAAATATCGCTAGTTATGCCATGCCCCCACTGAGCCTCTAGATCCTTGTCAAATCCTTTTCCGCAGACTAAAATTAATCATTCACATATAAACAAATGTAAATATATTTTTAGCATGCCTCAGAAAACCCACCTTCCTGTTGGGTTTTGGGGCTCTCTCTCCAAGTCAACTGGCATATCACAAAAGCAACTGCAACTGCTTAGAACTTTCCACCGCATACAGGCGACTGTGACCCCAGGTGACATCTGACTGTGGATGCCAAAATGACTTGTGTTGTGAGATTACAATCTCTAACTGCCTTGTGGTTTCAGAAGGCAGGAGAGGCCAGAACTTAAGAGAGGGTGAGGGCTTAAAAATTCAAGGTGAGGAGTTCCAGAAAAACCCACACATTTTGAGGGTCATTTGTGTGGCTTCCTGCGGAAGGTTTTAAAAGCCAGAGCACAGTACTGTTGAGACGTTAGCCAGTGGAAATAAAGGAAATCCTCCACCCAGCCAAGCAGCTAGCTGGATGGCAGCCCCCAGTTGGGGATGGTATTTCACCCTGTGAGGGCAGGCGGCAAAGGAAGAGAAACCGACCAACTGTCACCAATCTGAAAGAATTTGAGGGCCAGAAGGATAACAGCATGATTTAAAAAAAAAAAAAAGTATTCTTTTAAAGGCATACACAGGACATATGATCCCTAAGTAATAGCTCGTAATTAATAAAATAACTCTGTGTTCCTGCCAAAGTACTCTTTTTCTAACTCATTTGCAGACATTAGATACCTCTTACCTCTTCTTTGCACTTATCATCATTCCACGAAAATACGAGATTGGGGCAAATAAGGATTTGCATTGACAGGACATCTTGTGCTTTTCAAATAGTCCGTTCCACCGAGAGGTAAGGATAACATAATTAGAAGAAAATTGTGGGATGTGTCCATGGGCGGATGTGGTGGCTCACGCCCGTGATCCCAACACTTTGAAAGGCCAAGGTGGGAGGATTGCTTGAGGCCAGGAGTTCAAGACTAGCCCGGACAACATAGTGAGACCCTGTTTCTACAAAAAAAAAAAATTAAAAAATTAGCCAGGCATGGTGACACATGCCTGTAGTCCTAGCTACTCAAGGGACTGAGATGGGAAGATCACTTGAGCCCAGGAGTTCCAGGCTGCAGTGAGCTTTGGCCACACCACTGGACTCCAGCCTGGGTGTCAGAGCAAGACTGTCTCTAAAACTAATTAATTAGTTAAAAAAAGAATTGTGCCCAAATGGCTTAGAGCTGGTTAAGTGACAGATGCATGTTGCTGTGGAGCAAAGTTAAGGTTGCTTGACTCTTAGGCACTTCTTTGGCCATGACCTCCTGCTTCTGGTTCTCCTGATAAAATGCTGGAGGCTCAGTCCAAGGTAACCAGCAAGAAGTGGGCTCAGGAGGACAGAGCTCTGGCTTCCCAATTGCATGTTCGTTCACAGGCTCCTACCTCTGCCATTGCAGGTTCCTTGACTTTGGCCTTCAGTCCTGACTTAATTTCTTTGCTTATGGGTAAAACAAGGAATTCCTGTCACACTGCCAACATCACCCCCTTTCTTCTCACCCCAAGGAGAGTGCAGAGAGGAGGCGAGACCAAGCCTGCCCAGAGTTGGAGTCTTGAGACGTGAGGTAACATTGGTTCCCCATCTATGCTGAAACCTGAGGGAACTTGGCAGGGCTCATCAGGAGGGGAGGGCCGGCCTTGAGATTTTCTTTATGTTTGGCCTGGATGTAGTCCAACCTTAAACTCAAATGAAAACTTGAGAAATGTTATATTACCAAAGAGCGCATGTGTGTGTGTTGAGATGAAGGTAATGGGGTGGGTGGTGGCGGCCAGCCACAAAGTGCAGCTTCAATCCGGCTAAACAACTAAACCCTCACTGCAGAATCCAGGCCCTCATGACCGCACCATAAGGAGGAGTCTTTACTACCCCGATTCTTGTATTTTGTGTTTGTGCCCATCCAGGGAGCTCTCGGAACTCCTGGGTTCCAGTCCCTCATGTGGTTACTCACCTGAGCTAAATCTCTTCACTTCTCTGATCCTCAGCTTTTCCCATGCTCTAAATTAGAGGTATAAATCAAGTGTCAGGGATCTTTTCATTCAAAGAACCAAGTTCTAGTGCAATCACTGACAAATGTAATTTCTAAATGTTAAAGTCATCCATGCTTCCAAGACGCAATTGAAAAATGGCAAATGTTGAGAGGCTCAATGCATTTCGTTTCTTTTTCAAAGGGCCTTTCCTATTTCAGGCAATGGCGTCTGCAGTGAGTATGTGTGTATGAAAGCATATGTTTGCAAAACAGTTGAAATATTTGCGTATAATAGCATTTTCACAGCAGTTAGTATCAACAGGGAGAAACCTAGGAGTGGCTTTTCGTGGGTGTCTGTGAAATGACAGATTGTGCAATTTTTAGGAAAGAAAAAAAAGCTTGAAGGGAAAAACCCTAGAGGCAGTAATATGTTGACCTTGAGAGGGAAAAAAATATGCTAGTTTGTGTATAGAAAATAAACTCTCCTCCAAAGTTTACGTTCAGAAAAACCTTGGTTGCTTGCTCATAAATAAATTGAGGACAGAATTGTTGATTACTGAGGTTAATGTTCTTTTACTAAAGTGGAAACATTGTATGTAATTAGATTAAGAAGAGACTTCGGTAGAAAGAGTGACGATGTGAGTAATCTCGAGTCAACAAAGGCACATTTTGATTTTATTAGCTAGCTATTAGAGCAGTCTTTGGCATTTTATGTGTGATGCACAGCATCAGGATGTAGCTGTTGAAAGTCATTTGTGTCCGCTGTCTGGCCTAATTGAGCGACAATAATAAAACGCTGTTTTTAGATAAACAATGGGTGGCGGAGCTCCATCGGTCCCTGCAGGGAGCGTGTTGATGCCTTTCAAAGAGCAACTGGCTGAGCTCACGTGCCACAGTCATTTCACAGAGGAAAGTCAAGTCGTTTAAATCAACTAAATTGAACGCAGTTTTGAAATGGAAATCAGTAATCCCAGTTTGGAGCTGCCTCCTTGTCAATGGAAAGCTAGAGGCTCGGATCGCCGTCTGGTTCTCTCCCAAGTCTTATTCAAAGGCAGGAGGCCCCTGAGCCACAGAGATTGCAAGTTAGCAATACCAGGGAAAAGAATATCACGTGTCGAATGTTTTGTGTAGTGCGTTGGTGCCAAACAGGCTGATATGGAAATATCATCATAAACCCCAGCTGCCTGCTCTATGTCCCTCCCTTCAGTGCACACAAGATGGGCCCTAGACAGACGGACAAACAGAAGGCTTCCAGGAGGTTGTATATGGGTAATGTGCTGCTGCCCTCGCCCAGTAGGAAGGAATTTCTCTTAGAGGCCTCCCTCCTCCTCAAAATGTGCTCCTCCCTTTCTCCTCCCCCCATGCCCTTTAGAATAAAGCATGTCCAGAAGTGAACCTCAACTTTGCATCAAGATTAGGATCTCTGGTTACAGACTGAGAACAGAAGAAAGCAGGCTGACATCCTCCGACTCACTTTATCTTAACATAGGATCACACAACCACCAGGCTTTTGTGGCAGCCAAGGGGTGGCTGGGGGTGCTTTAACATCTCCCACTTTTCAGCTATCAGCCTTGTGCAAACAGCCACATGACCTAGGGAAAGACAGTGTGCTGGCTTGACAAACACGGCTTTGAGATAGGTTCACTGCACTCTGCAAACTAAACTGCATCTTCCTCACCCTGCTATAAACTGTTGTTGTTGACCAGCACAATCGCTCACTCCTGTAATCTCAACACTTGGATGAGGCCAAGGCTGGAGGATCACTTGGGCTCAGGAGTTTGAGACCAGCTTGGAGAACATAGTGAAACCTTGTTTCTACTAAAAATAAAAAAAATTATCCTGTAGTCCCAGGTACTCAGGAGGCTGAGGTGGGAGGATCACTTGAGCCCAGGAGATTGAGGCTGCAGTAAGTGGTGACCATGCCACTGCACTTTAGCCTGGATGACAGAGTGAGACGGTCTCAAAAATACACACACACAGACACACACACACACACACACACACACATATATATACATATATATATATATATATATATATATATATATATATATATATATAGTCACCTGAGCTTTAGGAAGCTGGATGCAGTCCATTGACATTCTCATTCAATAGCTCTTACTTGAATACTTGCTAGTCATAAGGTCCTGTGCTGCCTGCTGGGGAGATATCCTTGCAAAAGACGAACACATGGCACTTGAAGTCTGATAGGTAGGTAGGTAGGTAGGTAGGTAGGTAGGTAGGTAGGTAGATAGATAGATAGATAGATAGATAGATAGATAGATAGATAGACAGACAGACAGACAGACAGACAAATACAATACAATAGACTATTGGTCTGTTGATACACGTTTAGGAGGTCACGGGTAGCTTTCCCCCTCCCAGCACACCCAGCCCTAGATCATCCAGTTGTCTTTTAGAGCTTACAAGGGAGGAAAAAAATTATTTTTTCTGCTACTTTTCTAGATTCTCCAGCTGGAGCCCTATAAATTGGACTGACAAAAGACAGATTAGCAAGAGAAATGCAAGCAGCAGTTTATTAACATGTGCATCATGATTACACATGGAAGTACCCAGAGGTGAGTAACACAAAGGAGTGGTTAGAACTTGGGCTTATATACCACCTTAACATAAAACACAGGAAAAGGGGTTTGAGGCTTCTGAGTGGGGGAGGCAAGTTATGGGATGGTGACCAGGAAAAGTATGGTAGACAAGAGTTGTTTAGTAAGGTGTGTTATGTGGATTTAAATCAGTACCTTCTTCATTGATAAGAGTTGTTAAGAGTACTCCTTTTCCTGGTATGGGAGAGGGAGATATCTCCACAAATCTAAATTTCGTTTATTAGGGGAAACCATGTGCCCTGGTTTTAGAGCTTTTCCTGAGACTGCTGGTTCTTAATGGCCTCGAGCTCAAAATAATCCATATGCCAAAGGGGCATATTTTGGGGTGGCGTATTCTGGTACCTCTCAGGCTACTCCTGACACTATTTTCACTTGACTTCCTAGTCACCTCATCTGCTCTTCACCCTGGATGCTAGAGAAAATTCTCTGGCTCTGTCATAACTGAAAGCACAAAGTTCTTTCTGTGCATTCCTCTGATCTAAAGCATTGTGACAGATTAAAACTAGGCTTTGTACAATCTTTCGCTGATGACTCCTCTGAGTCCTGCCCCTCTGGGACACAGCCTAAGACAAGCAGCCAAAACATGTCTTCACCTTCTCTCTTAAGAGCTTCTTCCTGACTTTCTCCCATCTTGGACATATTTTAGTAATTTCTCAAAAAGTATTTGCAATGGTTAATTTTATGTATCAACTAAACTAGGCTATTGTGCTCATTTGCTTTGTCAACCACCAGTCTGGATGTTGCTGTGAAGGTGTTTTTTTTAGATATGATTAATCTTTTAAATCAGTAGACTTTAAGCAAATTAATTTTTTCTGCATAATTTAAATGAGCTCAGAGGACAGAGCATCAAGCCAGATGATTATTCTCAAAGCTTAAAATCTAATGGAATTTATCCTGCTAGGTTTTGAACCTGCTTGGAACTTTTGAGTCCCCTTTTCCTTCTGATTTCTCCCTTTTGGAATGGGCATGTCTGTCCTATACCTGTCCTAACATTTCTATCTTGCAAGTAAACTTGTCTGGTTTCATAGGCTCACAGCTAGAGAAGAATGTTGCTCCAGAATGAATCACACTGACTGTCACGCACACCTCATTTAGATGATATTTAAATGAGATTTTGAACTTAGAGTTGATACTAGAATACGTCAAGACTTTCAGGAGTGTTAGGTTTGGGTGAATGCATTTTGTATGTGAAAAGGATGATCCAGAGGGTGGTCTGTGATGGGTTGAATTATGTTCTCATGACCCAAATTTATGTTTTGAAATCCTAACCCCAGTGCCTCAAAATGTGACTCTATTTGGAAATACAGTTGTTGCAGATATAATAGTTAGTTAAGATGAGGTAATACTGGAGTAGAGTGAGCCCCTGATAGAATATGATTGGGTATCCTTATCAAAAGAAAAAATTTGGGCTGGGCATGGTGGCTCATGCTCATAATCCCAGCACTTTGGGAGGCCAAAGCAGGTAGATCACCTGAGGTCAGGAGCTCGAGAGGAGCCTAGCCAACATGGCGAAACCCCATCTCTACTAAAAATATAAAAATCAGCTGGGCGTGGTGGCGTGTGCCTGTAGTTCCAGCTACTCAGGAGGCTGAGGCAGGAGAACCACTTGAACCTGGGAGGCAGAAGTTGTGGTGAGCTGACATAGTGCCACTGCACTCCAGCATGGGCGACAATGAGTGAGACTCTGTCTCAAAAAAAAAATAAATAAAAAGAAAAAATTTAGACACAGACACACACACAGAGGAAAAACACCATGTGAAAGTTCGATTCATGCTTCCACAAGCCAAGGAACTATCAGAAACTAGGAGAGAGGCCTGGAACATTAGATCCTTCCCTGGTGCCTTCAGAGGGAGCATGGTCCTGCCAACATCTTGATCTTGGATTTCCAGCCTCCAGAACTATGAGACCATAAATTTCTGTTTTTTGAAGCCTCTCAGTTGGTGGTACTTTGTTATGACAGCTCCTATAAACTCATAGAGTGTCCCTTCCTTGTCACCTCTGCATTGCACTCCCCACTGGATCAACTCCTGGAAGCCCACCTTGTTGAAACCCTTATGTCACACAGGGGTGACAAGAAGGTCCTGCCTCTCAGCCCCATGTCATTGGCCTTTCTGGATTTTGCACCCTGCCGTTAGCACAAATATTAGCATGTTCGTCACACAGACACGTTAGGATTGCTCTAGCTCCAAGTCATAAAGCCCTCTTAAAAAAATTAAGCCAAAAAGTGTTAAGTGGCTTAAGCACATCAGCACCTGAAGTATAAGGATTTTATCCTATACGTTTCCTGCTGAAACATACATTGGTATAAAAAAAAAGTGAAAGGGGAGAAAGCAGCCTCAAAACTCAAGGGGAGAAAGCCTCAAAACTTATCTTTGTGTTCACTAAAAATGTTGGCACTATTGGGGCTAGGTTACTCTGTAAGGCTCAAGTGCATGTTCAGTTACCTAACTCTGAAACGAAGGATCCAGATTATTTCTTTCTTCAAATGGTTGCCTCTGATGAATTAGGAACACAGGATAAAATAAGAAACACCAGTTTAGGAGTTTAGGACCTGGGTTCAAATTCTGACTGGATCTCTTACCAGCTGCATGATCTTAGATAAATGACTTGTCAAGCTCTTTGAGCATCATTGTTCTTATCTACGAATGAGAGGTAAAAATCCCTATCTCAGGGAGGTGTATAGACTTTCCCTTTCTTAGGCCTCTGATTCCTGGAAGTGGGGGAGTATTTTAGCATGAAATATCCAAGTTATGCAGTGAGAAATCCATCATTATTAACATGAGGAAGGGTTGTCTTATAGATGCTCCATCCTGAAGATGGGAAAAGACTACAGGGAGCTACCCATGGTTTCCCTTTGGGACCAGCAATACCTGTCATCTCCCAGGGGAGGGGTCATGTTTTGTGTGATCTAGAGCGTAATTAACTCGGGAGGTCATTTTGAAGGAGTAGAACTCATAAATTCAAATACAAAAGGAGGTGCAGGGCTTGGAAGAGGCTTCAGTTAGTGACAGGCCCTGAAGCATGAGCTTCTTCAGCTGCAGAATAAACCTAACCACGTCCCTCTGGGATACAAGGAGACTAGACTCCGGACCTTGGGCAGAAGAGTGAGGAGGAAAAAGAGAGAAAGATTAAAATAATACTAATAAGAGGATTCTAGAACTCCCATCTGAAACTGATTCGGTGTGACTGGAGTGTGGATAAATGTCTGTATTCAGGATGTCTATAAATGACTGCTACTAGATTACATTTCTTCAAAAAAATTTTTTCTGCTGAGTAGACCTGAATGCCTGCTCAGATCTGAAAATATTCGATCTTATTTTTTCCTAATATGATGTTAAGGGTGGATTTCTTTTTAGGAAACTCCCATGTGTAGTTGGGATCTGGCTTTGGTTCACGTGTGGATCACCCCCAGTGGTCATACTGAACCTGGGCAGGCCTACCAAAAGCCTGTGATGGGGTTCAGGACACGCTACCTTAAAATATAGCAACTTGGCATTTGGGAAAAGCACAGAAGCAGGAAGTTCACTTTTACATGTATTCTCCCTTCTACCTTGAAGCAGGTCATAAGACCTCATGTGACAAGTGCCCTCCTTACTCCCAGAGAAAAGGAAGGAAGACACAGAAACACCACGAAGAATATGGACAAACAGACCTTGCTAAGTTCCCCCCCATTTATTACCATGACATCATACTCCCTTTGTCCAATCACACTTTCATCAAACCTGAGCATGAAAATACACAGGTTTCTCTGTTTGGGGGGTGGGTCTTCATTTTTGAAGTTTCCATGTCATGTAAAACTTATATTAAAGAAATGTGTATGTTTTACCCTTGTTAATTTGTCTTGTGTTAGAGGGATCTAAGCCACAAGCCTAGGATAGATGAGGAAAAGATACTTAACACCTGTTTGTCTGAAGGCTGAGGGATGGTTCTTATCAGACAGGAAGGAGCCAAGCATCGAGAAGTTGACCCTGTAACAAAGCCCTGGAGGTGGGAAAGAAGGAGGAGTTCAGAAGTGCATTCAGCACGTATTTATTGACATGTGCCTAAGTCCACAAGCACATATCAGAAGCCCTTGAGGCCAGATGTGTTTTAGAACTCAGAAATTTTCAGATTTGAGAAAGGCAATGTGCATAAACCAAATATTATATAACATCCCTAGAGGGGTTGGAGGCAACACTTTGCAAATCAAACACGGTATTTCCACAGTCCTGTCTCAGCCAAATGTATGAATATTCACACTAAGTGGGATAAATGCCACCTTACTTCACTTCATGTTTTGCCACCAAGGTGTTTATAAAAATTTTTGTGTTTTCAGAGGTTTGGGGATTTTAGAATTGTGGATAGGGCCTGGGCCAGGTGCTGCACAGTGTTCTGATGCTGGGGAAATAGCACTAACAGGACCAGAGCAGAGGCCTGAGGGAGCTGGTAGGCTCTGAACAAGGGATGGTTCCCCCGTGGGGCCCTGGTGGATGCAGGTGTAATTCCCATGGGGAGAAGGGGAGCTTTTTAAAGGGAAAGAAAACAAAACAATAGAAATGGCGTTCCATTAAAGCCCTAGAAAACATTAGTGCATAAGCTTGAATGCTTTAAAAAAATATCTCCAACAGAAAATCACACAGAGGAACAGAGGCCCCCTCCCTCCTTCCTGTCAACAATAGGCAGCTCAGTGGCTCTGGTGACTGGAGGGCCATGGGCCTCAGCTGGAAGATGTGAGTGCCCAGCAGACTGGATGGGCACAGCTGATGCCCACCTGACAGAAGCAGACCCCGATGGAGAGAGACCCACTCTGAGCGGTGGTTTGCAACTGTGTGTTGGGATATGGGGGAGACAAAGGTACCCCTGGGACAGGTGGCCAGAATATTTCCTGGTCTATAACCTGTAGGAACTGTCCACAGAATATACACATATGTGTATGCATGTGTGTTCATATATATATATTAACTATTGGGAGGAAGACTTTTCGTCTATTCAATTAGTTTGGAATGCTTGGGGGCCTGCAGATTAACTGGCAATAGACAGATTAGCAGAAGAAAAGAGAAGATTTATTTACGCATGCATTTGACGTCACTAATGAGTAACTCACTGAATACCCAGTGGTGAAGGTTTCTATACAGGTTGAATATCCCTTATTTGAAATGCTTGGGACTTAGAAGTGTTTCAGATTTTGGATTTTTTCAGATTTTGGAATGTTTGCATACGCGTAATGAGATCTTGGGAATCTCAGGCCCTATGTCTAAACACAAAATTCATTTATGTTTTCCATGCAACTTATACCCATAGACTGATGATAACTTCATACAGTTTTAAAGAGAATTTTGCACATAAACAAAGTTTGTGTCCTTTCGTATATGTGTCTGGAATTTTCCACTTGTGGCATCCTCTCAGTGCTCAAAAACTTTCTGAGTTTTAGAGCAGTTTGGATTTTGGATTAAGGATGCTCGAATTGTACCAATATAACAAAAAAGGGAGCAGCAGGAATTTAGGGATTCGATGGGAAAATGTGTAAGGTGCAGTGCGTTTTTCTTTGTGCCAATGGGAAGGGACAATTTGTCCACTTCCTGGAATTCGCAGGAAAGCCCCTCAGAGCAGGGTTAATAGCAGCCTGTATTTTTGAAAGACTCTGTGTTAGTCAGATAAGGAAAGTTCAGATAAGATTTTAAATATTCTCACCTCTAAACAACCTTTATGCCAAAGCTGTCATCCCTTTAATACATATATGCATGCATATACACATGTAAATATATATTATATAGGTATATATACATACACATATGATTTATGTATACCTATATAATATATATTTATATAGGTATACACACACGGGATATTCTATACTTACACCACTTATGGCAATTATTTTTAAAATCTCCCTGCTTTTTCTCTTGTTCATCTCTGCCCCCTCCCAAGATCCTGGCTTGCCCTCCTGATGCCCGCAGGGTCAGGACCAGATCTAGGAGAAATGAGGAAGTCGCAAAGTGGCATGTGTAGACTGCGTGGTTTGCTGAGAGCCTTCAGTATGATGACAGGGTAGCGCTAGGCTCTTAGGTCCGCCGTGAATCTAAGTGCAAGTCAGTTATGCTTGGCTCAAGCTCTTTACCCTCTAAGTAGATTTCCCAGGGAGTTTCAGAAACACCAGCACAGGACGGAGGAATTTTCCGAGAGTGCGTGCTCCTGCATTAGCGGGTGTACGCAAGAGCCAGAGAAATCTGGGCTCTCATATTCACTGGGCTCCCACTGGCTAGAAAACTCAGGGTCTAAACTCCAGCGAACATTCTCAAAAGAATCAAAGAACCTCTCTACCTCTTCCTACATTGTGTGGCCACTGTTGACTCTCTCCCACAGCACTCCCAGAAATTGTTCTGGATCTTTCCTAGAAGACAGCTTAGGGACATTTATCTTTCCCCTGTCCTCCTTGGTGACAGCATGTGTGGACCACTCCCCACTGGTTGGCATCTCATCTCGGCCCCTTTGCCTCATTTCTACGCTGCAGAGAGTTTCCCACAAAATTTTCCCACAAATTTTTTTTTTTAGCATTTAGCGGGGATTTCACCAGCAAAGCAAAAGACTCTGCCTGCAGGCTGATTGGTTGCAAAAGAAAAGGTGAAGACATTTCTGAAGAATGGTCCCATTTGAGAAGCGAAAAGCAGCCCTGGTCAAACTTGTGGCCTAGTCCCCTGTGAGTGTTTTTGTCGCTCAGTAGACTGCTTCTGCCACTGTTTATCCAGCACAGGGAAGGTGCTTTGAATAGATGTCTTTGCTGACACGGATCCCTTTGCTTTGTGAATAGGGCGATTACTGAACAATGAAGCTGTTACATTAGGAGCAGGAGCTGGCTGGAGCCAACAAATCTCCTCTACGTTTACAGAGCTATAATTATCCAAAGTTTCAAAACACAATGGTATCTGCTGAGAGGGAACATCTGGGAGGGAACCAAGCCATCCCAATTAAAGGAGCGATGCACAGCCCATGGACTGGATGAGTCCGCATTAATGGGGTGGTGATTTTTTTAGATGTCACTCAAGTTAACAAATGTGCTGAAAGGTTTAAGCAGAACAAATGTGCAGGGGGATAAAAAAATCACATCAAGAAGAGAGATCTGTTTTATAAGAACATCTACAAATTGGTTGCAGAAAGCATTCCAGGCTGCTGTTATGAACACTAATCAAGAGAAAAATGTTTCATGAGGTTTTTCCCATATGAAAATAAAAGCTTTTTCCAGTTGCCATTTCATTTCAAAATAAATTCTTTTAACCTCCAGAGGACCCCGCGTGACAGAGTGGGGTGGGAGGACAGCATTGTGGGGAGGTCTGAGTGGTTCGGGGTTATGGGGCTTGTGCCGGCACTTAGGCTCACCATAAAGATTAGGGGAAATTGGTTGTTTTGAGAGATTGGAGACTTGATCCTATAAATAGATTTGGCCCAGATAGTAGCGCTGGACTCCGCTTTGCCAATGAAGTTTACAGCATGCTCTCCGCCGTAACAATCTGTCCTAAAATGGGTATGGGCCACATGCTTAGGGCTCCTGAGCACTTCAAGACCTACAATCTAAATCAAGGGTCTATTGCACCTATTACATAAGTTGAGGGCAATTCTTCCAGGTTAAAAAAAAAAAAAAAAAAAACTAAAAGAATAGTTATGAGGGCAGTAACAAAACCAGACAAAAGAATCTCTTATTCATCATCTTATACCTCTGGGAATGTTTGCTCTAATGGAGTGAGAGTTCCATCGGGGGCGGGGAGTGGGGCCAGCATAGAGGATTATTTCTTCAATTATGCTTCCTTCCCATCTGTTTGGGGGCACTGCAGCAGCATCACACAAGGACTCAGCTCAGTTCTGAAGGCAGAATCTGGAAAATGATTTGGGTCATCACAGGCTATACAGCAGAGCCCACAGTAGGCTAAATCAGGAAAGTGGGGTGTTGGACAGGTTTTTCCCAAGCTGTCCTTTTCTGGGCTTTTGCTGATGCTCCTGCTGCAATGGGGTCCCTCCCCACTTTCAGTGCCCTGTTGGTCCCCCTTCTGATTGTTTCCCACAGAAGTACACTAAAACATGCTGACAGAGCACTTGCTAGCTTTCACTTACTCCAAAGGGAGAAAAAGTTTAAGTCTCTTTATCAACTTTCCCATAGGTATTTGCATGATTATTGCCGCAAAAGCAGTATTATAGCAACATAAAAAATGAATAATTAAAAACAGTTACCAATTAACCCACCACCCTACTACCATTTGAGTACCCCTAAGCCCATTTGTTCGCTGAGCCTTCACCTGCTTTTTCCTTTCTGCTTTGTGAAATATTTGCCTATTTCTAAGTTTTACTATGGAAGGTAATACCACCATCAACACGTGCATTCTTTTTAACCTTCTGTGAAAGATCTCTCCAGAAATCTTGGACCGATGCACAGTACTGGGAACTGAATTGTGCCAAAATTCATATGTTGAAGTGTTAACCCCCTGTATTTGGAGATACAGATGTTAGAGAGGTAATTAAGGTTAAATTAGGTCATAAGGGTGCAGCCTAAATCCATATGACAGGTGTTCTTATAAAAAGAGAAAGAGAAAGCCGAGATCTCTCTCTTCCTCCATGTACACAGAAGAAAGATCACTGGAAGACACAGAGAGAAGGCGGCCATCTGCAAACCAAGGAAAGAGGCCTCAGGACAAATCAAATCTGCAATGCCTTGATCTTGGACTTACAGCCCCCAGAACTGTGAGAAAATCAATGTCTGTTGTTTAAGCCTCCCCGTCTGTGGCATTTTGTTATGGTAGCCCAAGTAGACGAATACACACAGTGTTGGGGTTGAAAGGTTAGGAAGAGAAAAGCAGCCTTTGACATTAGGAGCAGGCCTGGCCCTCACAGCTAGCCCATGTGTTCTCCTGCTGAACACAAACAATTTCACAGAACTCTAACATCAGATAAGGCCACTCTGAGGCCACGAAGGGTCAGGACAAGAAAAAGGCCACCGCACAATCGTGTCTGAATCCAGACAAATACACAAACCACAAAAATGACCCAGGCATCTTCCTATCCTGGATAAATGAATGACTGCCACAGCTTTCTTACCCATTTTAAGCTTTAGCCTTGCTCTAGTTTTTTTTCGCCTTCTAGATTAGATTTATTCATAGAACTACTCACACTTCCTGATAGCATCCAATCCAGAACAAAGCCCCACTTCCTTAAATCTTCCCCCTAAATACCTAATATGAGCCAAAATCCTACCACAAGTCCTTTCTAAGCTCCTACTGAGCAACTCTATGGTTCCTTGTAAGCACTAAACCCAGCTTGGTGTGTGTATGTTTCTGGTGGTCACTGGCTGAGCAACGTTATCAGTGATGTGAATGTTTTTGTGGTTTTTAATAAGCATTTAACATTGCTGATCAAAGAAGCTAATCAATTTTGATTGCTTTCAAATATTTTACACAACCTAACCAGCAACTTAAGTGTTAGGGTCTTTTTCAATTAAGTTGATCGTGTAAACTGAATCTTGTTTCAATGTGTATGTTTTATTGGTTTGTAAGCTAATCATTTTCCCAGGTATTTGATATTTCTCCTCTACTGGTATTTCTTTTTATCTGTCACGAGTTTGATATTCAATGATGAAAAAATAATTTTTGTCTCCTACTGAAAATAATTCAGAAGTTCCCTGGAAGGTGAGCGAGGTATTTGAGGGGTTGTAGTATTGTTAGTGTTTTTCACTCCTGCTTCTGAAGTGAAACTCATGGCCTGGGATTTAGGGTCCTCATGATAGAAACAGCATCGCAGGTGCACACACACACAACAAAAAAGGGGGAACACTCGGCAATTACAGTCCTCATTTCTGTAACTGGTCGTGTTGACATAGCTGGTGGTTATAACCTCTTTCTTTTACTATCCATTCTGTATTTCCCTTGCCTTCAACAAGCGCCTCAGCTGGTCACAAACCTTCATTTCCAAAGAGTCTGAGCCACTGTCCTTCCTGGAGTGGGTTGTTACAGTTTTCCATTGGCCTTAATCATAGGGCTTGGTAATATTAAGAGGCGTCCTAAGGGATCTCCTGTAGTCCAGAAATACTCTTCCTTACCTCTGTTGTGGAGTAGTAGTCCAATTTCCCCTTGGTAGTCAGATTCAGTCACCCTAACCAGCACAGTAACTCCTTTCTTTGCCTGTTGATTCAGAGGAATACGGAGTCCAAAATGGCTGCATGGCAGTCTTGACTTCCAGTTCAGTGGAAGCATTGCTATGTCTCCCTGTGGAAGCATTCTTTCCTCTGGAACTAAGACCCGTGGGCCAGCAGAGCATGAAGTCATGGGAACAAAAAGCAAAATTTACTAGTGGGTAACCAGGAGTAACAGTGAGTGGTAGAACTCCTATTTCAACCCCTTGATTCCTGGACCTGTGAGTTTCTGGCTATAGGAGAAACAGCATCATTAATTGAATGCTGATTCAGAGCATATACAGTCTTATAGAGAACCTTGTCCTAACCCTGCAAGGTAGTGCCACTTAGCTGGCACTAGACTGAGTCTTCAAAAGGCCATTTCACTGTTTTATCAAGCCAGCTGCTTTGGGATGATGGGGAACATGGTAAGACCAGTGAATTCCGTGAGCAGGAGCCCACTGCCACACTTCATTTGCTGTGGAGTTCTTTGGTCAAAAGCAATGCTGTGTGGAATACCATGAGGGTGGATAAGGCATTCTGTGAGTTCATGAATGGTGGTTTTGGCAGAAGCACTGCAGGCAAGGAAGGCAAATTCATATCCAGAGTAAGCATCTCTTTCGCTAAGGACAAGATGCTGCCCCTTCCCTAATAGAAGTGGTCCAATGTAATCAACCTGCAAACAGGTAACTGGTTGATCATCTGGGGAATGCTGCCATATCAGGGGCTCAACACTGGTCTCTGAGGCTGGCAGATTGGGCACTTGGCAGTGGCCATAGCCAGGTCAGCACTGGTGAGTGGGAAGTCCATGTTGCTGGGCCAAGGCATAATCTTCATCCCTGTCACAATGGCCACTTGGTTCATGAACCTACTGGGCGATGACAGGGATGGCGGGGGAAAGAGGCTAACTGGTATCCACAGAACGGTTCATTCTGTCCACTTGACTATTAAAATCCTCCTCTACTGAGGTCACCTTTTGGTGAACATTCACATGGGACACAATTATCTTGACTTTTTTTTCCCCATTCAGGGAGGTCTAACTACATATGTCTTCCCCAAATTTCTTTGTCACCAGTTTTCCAATGGAGCTCCTTCTACATCCCTGACCATCCAGGCAAACCATTGATCACAGCTCATAAATGAGGATAAGCAAATGCCAACCCATTTCTCTTTCCAAGCAAAGTGAACAACAAGGTGCACTACTCAAAGTTCTGTCCACTGGGAGGAATTGCTTTCACCAGCATCCTTCAGAGATGTCCCAGAAAGGGGCAGTAGTGCTGCAGCTGTCTACCTTCAGGTGGTGCCTGCATATTGTGCAGAACCATCTGTAAACCAGGCCTGAGCCTTCTCTTCCTCTGTTACTGATCATAGGAAACTCCCCATGAGACTGGGAGAGATAAGGCAGTGTAGCAGAAGTGGGAACCATGGGCATCTGTGTCACTTCTTCATGTAACTCACTTGTGCCTGCAGGGCCTGCTCAGTCCCAATCAGTCAAATCACTTCCATTTGATGAATAGAATGCTTCTGTGCACACTGACGTTATAACTTGCTGTGTAAGAAAACACCCAGTTCATGATGGGCAGCTCAGGTTACATGGTAACAGGGTAACCCATAGTTAAGCATTTAGTCTTTACGAAGGCTCAGCAGCAGGCCAAAAGCTGTTTCTCAAAAGGAGAGTAGTTATCTGTGGAGACTGGCAGGGCTTTGCTCCCAAATCCAAAGGCCTGCATTGCAGTTCACCCATAGACGCCTGACAAAAGCTCCAAACAGCATCCCTATGTGCCACTGACACTCTAAGCACCATTGCTTGGCCCTGCTGGATCTTATGGCCCAAGCAGCAGAGCAGTTTGCACAGCAGCCTGGCCTGTTGCAGAGTCTTCTCTTGTTCTGGGGCCCACTCGATATTAGCAGCTTTTTGGGTCACAGTAACACACCCAAATGAAGAATATGTTGCCTCCAAAATCCGAAGAAGCCCAGTAGGCATTGTGCTTCTCTTTTGGTTGTAGGAGGGGCCAGATGAAACAACTTAGCCCTCCCTTAGAAGGGATATCTCAATAAGCTTCACAACGTTGGATGCCTAAAACTTTCACTAAGGAGAAGGCCCCTGAAGCTTGTTGGATTTATTTCCCACCTTCTTACATGCAAATTTCTTACCAATAGGTCTAAAGTAGTTACTACTTCTTGCTCACTAGGTCCAATCAACATAATGTCATCAATCAAATGGACCAACGTAATACCTTGTGAAAGCGATTGAGACCCTCATGAATTAGATTATAATATAGTGCTGGAGAGAGTTGACATACCCCTGAGATAGAACAGTAAATGTGTATTGCTGGCCTTGCAGTGAAAGAAAACTGCTGTTGGTAGTCTTTATTGATAGATATGAAGAAAAACGCATTCGTCAGATCAATAGTTGCATATCAGGTTTCAGAGTATATGTTAATTTGCTCAAGCAATGAAACCACATCTGGTACAGCAGCTGCAAGTAGAGTCACCACCTGGTTAAGCTTATGATAATTCACTGTCATTCTGCAAGATCCAACTGTCTTCTACATAGGTCAAATAGGCAAGATGAATGGGAATGTGGTGGAAATCACCACCCCTGCATTTTTCAAATCTCCGATGGTGTCACTAATCTCTGAAATCCCTTCAGGGATGCAGTATTGCCTTTGGCTTACTATTTTCCTACATAAGGGCAGTTCTAGTGGCTTCCTCTTGGCCCTTCCCACCATAATAGTCCTCATCCCACAGTTTAGGTAACCCATGTGGGGATTCTGCCTGCTGCTGAGTGTATCTATTCCAATTATGCATTCCAGAACTCGGGAAATAACCACAGAAAGCTTCTGAGACCCACTGGTCACTGGGACAAGACCTGAGCTAAAACTCCATGAGTCATCTTACCTCCATAAGCCCCTACTCTGGCTAGTGGACCACAGTGATGTTTCCTGTCTCCTAGATTCCATGTCAGTTCAGAGCCTTTGTCTGGTAGTACCCAGAATATCTGATTACTTCCTTTTCCTCAAGGCACATTTACCCTGGTAAAAGGCTATAGGTCCCTTTGGGGAGGCTTGGGGAAAAAGTAACAGTATAAATTATTGGCAGTGTACCACGGTCCTTTATCAAGGGGGCCCAACTTCCTCTTCATTCAAGGGGTTCTGGCTCTGTAAACTGGCTTAAGTCTGGGAATTCATTTAGGGGCCATGATTCCCTGCTTTTATGATTCAAGATAGACTTTTGCTCACTTGAACTTTGCTGTTTACACAGATCAATTAATAATTTAGTAGGCTTTCTATCTGTTTCACTTCTGAAAACATCACGATCAACTAGCTAATGCCATTGGTCTGTGGAAGCCAGGCTATTCTGATTGCTGCTTTGACTCTACTGTCCCTTAAGGTAACCACACTCACTTTGCCTTTGGTGGTTAAGAGCTGCCACATGGCTCCTGCCACCCTAGGATCCAATCACTCCATTGCATTTAGGTTTCCCAGTTCAGTGACTGCAGATCCCACTGTAAAGTCTCACCTACACAGAAGAGTGATCACGGAGTTTTTCAAGGGTACCAGGGATTCCATCACAAATTTATGTCTCACAATCATGGTGAAAAATATGTCTTCTGGACTCTCCCTGAGTGAGGGGGAAGATACTAAATGACAAATCCTCTCTAACATTTCAATCTCCCTAAGCCTTTGCATCTCTTCCTCTATATTAAACCAAGGCAGTCTAGCATTTTGAACTCACTCAATATTGCCCACCTTTTGGTCCATGTTTCAGCCAACCAACCAAATTTAGTCCCTTTGTGTTGCTATGAAGGAATATCTAAGACTGGATACTTTATAAAGAAAAGAGGCTTCTTTGGTTCATGGTTCTGCAGGCTGTACAAGAAGCATGATGCCAACATCTGCATCTAGTGAGGGCCACAGGCTGCTTCCAGTCATGGCAAAAGGTGAAGGGGAGCTGGTGTGTGCAGATCACATGGCAAGAAAGGAAGGTGGTGGGGAGGGAGGTACTGAGCTCTTTTAAACAACCAGCTCTTGTAGGAACAAATAGAGCAAGAATTCACTCACTCTTGCAAGAATGGCACCAAGTCATTCCTGAGAGATCTGCCCCCTGATCCAACACCTCCTACTGTTCCCCACCTCCAACACTGGGAATCAAATTTCAGCATGAGATTTGGAGGGAACAAACAAACTAAAGTATAGCACAAACAATTAGAGCCCTTTCGAACGGCCTGAGCTATAATGTTAAATACAGAATCTCTGCTTAGTGAGCCCATATCAATGAATTCCACCTAATCCAACTTTATGTTCCTCCTGCCATTATCCTATACTCTCAATATCCACTCCCACACGTTTCCCAGATTTCTATCTGTATAAATTAGAAAATTCCAGTAGTTCTTTTGAACTGTGGTATGCTTCCTTGTGAGTTACATTTTGTACCTTACCTTTAGGAGCCTACTAGGACTTGAATCAAGTTATAGGTCTAGAAGCACAGAGGGGTGATATAAATGGATCTTGAGGAGAATCACTGTCTAGCATAGCATCTACCACAGAGGAGGTCATTACAGTTTTCGAGGACAATGCAAGTTTAATCCCACCAGTTGAGAGGTGAGGGGGTGGAGAAGCCACTACCACTGGGAGTGGGAAGGTGGCTTCCCCAGAGGTTAGAGAGGCCTCTTCCACTGGCAAATATTTATCAGATTCCAGGGGCTCGATTTCCCCAGTTTCATCAGGTCTTCCTACATATCCCCATTCCAGCTCTCAAAGTGCATATCTTCCTCACTTCAACGTTTGACTTCCTGTGAGGCTGAGAGTTTAACCTGGGCAGTCATTCAGCCAGTCTCAGGATAAGATTCTGTGTTTGATTTTCAGCAATCATAGCCCTGCTGCTAAAGGCAATAATGATCTTGCAGGGCACCTGTAGAAGATTTCAGGTCTTGTACATGGGGCTTAAGCTGAAGATTCAAATCCTGGAGCTCATCCTTTCCTTTCCCCACTTTGCCCAGTGACATTTGGATCAACCAGCCAATCTCATACTTGTTAGTTTGCAAAAAGTGTTCGTAAGTATATACATAGCTCCCCACCGCCCCCCCGCCCATTGCCCCCGCAGCTCCTTGCTTCCTACAAGGGGTTGCTAAGGAGTATCCAAAGGTGCTGTTTTACGTATCTCTATTGCCAGATCATGCCATGGACTACCAGTGCTCTCATTACTACTAAAAATAAAGTCATTAGCATCTTGAAATCTAATCAGATTAGAGAGTCAATTCCAGAAACCGCAGAACCATTTCAGAAAACCTGTCCTTAACATTCTTTTTTTTTTTCTTTTTAATTTAATCATTTAATTTTTTTGAGACAGGGTCTCATTCTATTGCCCAGGCTGTAGTGCAGTGGTGCTATCGCAGCTCACTGCAGCTTCAACTGCCCGGGTTCAGGCAATTTTCTCACCTCAGCTTCCTGAGTAGCTGGGACCACAGACACACTACCCTATGCCTGGCTAGTTTTTTTTTTATTATTTGTAGAGAAGAGGTCTCACTATGTTGCCCAGGCTGCTCTCAAACTCCTGGGCTCGGGCGATCCTCCTACCTTGGCCTCCCAAAGTGATGGGATTACAGGCACAAGCCACAGCACCTGGCCTTCATCCTTAACATTCTGTTTCTCTAGAACTATTCAAGGAAGTGGGGATAGTCATACAATATTGCAAATGTACTAAATGCATGGAATTGTACACTTAAAAATGTTTAAAATACTAATTTTATGTGTATTTTGCCACAATAAAAAAACCACAGTTACAAAAAAGGAAAAGAAATAACCCAGCCTGAATGAAAGTAGGCAAGAGGCAAAAAGACCCTCAATTCAGAGTTTAACTCAACAGAAAGTGCTGATCAATTTGTTAGTGGATAAGGATAAAAGCTCAGAGTTTTAGAGTTTTAAGAAATAAAATATGAATCTAAGGTTTTCGATCTGTAATTTTACGTTCATCTTTCTTCTAGGATTTAATCAAAAGTCTTTTCAACTTTTGGCCCGATGATTCTATGCTAATTTGCACTTTCAACTTAACATTCATATGGTCATTTTGTCCCAGGCAGAATTAAAGATTCAAGATGTACCTACTTCTTCCGGGGACAACATTCATGATTCTTAAAGATTTCACAAGTGTACCTTCTAAGGTAAATTATAAACAGTGCCAAAGAATTTGCTTCACCGCATGCCTATAGGGTTGTGAATCAGGCTTAACTCTTCCTCCCCCACCCCCATTCCCCCATTCCCATCTCACCTGACATCTTCCTTTGACCTACTTTTTCAGAAATCAAAGAAGTAATCTTAGGTGGTGATTTGAAGTCCCACGCCATTTGTACTTGCTCCTCTTAATCTACTCTGCTTTCTGTTCCTTCTTTCTACTGCCCAGGGTAAGTGGCTGGAAGTAGTAAGAGGTCAATGCCAAGTGAAATCCTCTGGCGTTTTCTTCTGACAACCAGGAGTCTGCAAAGTGAGTTTGCTGGGAGCGTCCAGTTTTTTCAGCTTAACGTTAGGTGTACTTTCTGTCTTCGGCACAAATTGTTTCCAAATGCCTGTGGGTTGCAATATGATTTTCCCATCTTGAAAATCTATTAAAAAGGAAGAGATTCTTCACTTCTCCCCACCCCACCTCCAGGCACTGCAGATGGCGATTAACACCCTACACAGCCCCTCCCCATAGCATCATCGATTTTCTGCCTGCATTGCATCTACTTCACAGTTCGAGACATGCCAAATCACACACGTTCTAAGTACTTGTTGCTAGCAACAAATCTCTGTTCCTCAGTGGCCAAGCAGACTATATTTGGAATGTCAGAGCACCTAGCCCTTCCCTGGCCCACTTCCTTTAGCTCAGAAGTCTCCAAGCCTGAAAGTAACCTCACCCGTGTTTCCTTGAGTTCTGCTTGTTGAAGCAACTCTTTGGATTAACTCCGCAAAACACAAAGTGACAGCAAAACAGAGAAACAATCAGATTCTTTTCCATGAACTCCTTTCTTTTCTATAAAAGTGTTATTAATCCCTATCTTATGGGACAATTGTGAATGTATTTAATGAGCTCATCAAAATATACATACACATACATATATATATAGAGGGGGGGGGTTGGGGGGAGAGAGAGAGAGAGAAAGAGAGAGAGTCTCACTCTGTGGCCCAGGCTGGAGTGCAGTGGCACAATCTCAGCTCGCTGCAACTTCCATCGTCTCCCAGGTTCAAGCAATTCTCCTGCCTCAGCCTCCCAAGTAGCTGGGATTACAGGCGCTCGCCACCAAGCCCAGCTAATTTTTTTTATTTTTCTTTTTGGAGACAGAGTCTCGCTCTGTTGCCCAGGCTGGAGTGCAATGGGGCAATCTCGGCTCACTGCAACCTCCGCCTCCCGGGTTCAAGCATCCTGCCTCAGTCTCCCTAGTAGCTGGGACTACAGGCAAATGCTGCCAAGCCAGGCTAAATTTTTTTGTATTTTAATAGAGATGGGTTTCACCGTGTTGCCCAGGCTGGTCTCGAACTCCTGAGCTCAGACAATCCACCCGCCTCGGCCTCCCAAAGTGCTAAGATTACAGGCATGAGCCACTGTGCCCGGCCTAATTTTTGTATTTTTACTAGAGACCGGGTTTTGCCATGTTGGTCAGGCTGGTCTCACACTCCTGACATCAGGTAATCTGCCGACCTCAGCCTCCCAAAGTGCTGGGATTACAGGCATGAGCCACCTTGCCCAGCCTGAGCTCATCAAAATATTAAAACTAGTGCATTTTTAATGGCAGTGTAGACCTAGCACATGGCTGGCAGTGTATAACTGCCAGGTGTTTCTCCTCTTTTCCTCACCCTTTCTCTCTCTTTTTTATTGAGGTGAAATTCACATAACATAAATCAAATCATTTTAAAGTGAACAATTAAATGGCATTTTATACTTTCCCAGTGTTGTGCAATCACATCTCTATCTAGTTCCTAAATATTTCCATCCCCCCCAGAAGGAAACGCATCCCCTTTAACCACTCTCCATTTCCCTCTCCTCAGCCTTCACAAACAACAATCGACTTCCTGTCTCCATGCATTTACCTGTTCTGGTTATTTTATATAAATGGATTTATATAATATGTGTCTGGTTCCATTCACTTAATGTAATATTTTTGAGGTTTTTTCACCTTGTATCACGTTTTGGTAATTCATTTCTTGTTATATCTGAACAATATTCTGTTGTATGAATATACCACAGTTTGTTGTCTATTTATCTATGGATGAACATTTGGGCTGTTTCACCTTTTGATGTTTGTAAATTGTAAGTAGTGCTGCCATGAACACATATGTACATGTATTGGTTTGAGTGCCTGTTTTCAATACTTTTGAGTATATAACTAGGAGTGAAATTGGTATTCACCCTTTTTTTTCTGTTACTTCTCTTAATGATCTCATGTCTGCGTGATCCTTAATGATGCCCCGTTTTAAAATTCCTGACATTGTTTGTCACTAGGTCATTTGTCTCTAGTTTAACTGATCAATCTTGACAGCAATTTTTCACTTTTATTAGTATTTTAAGGAATCAGCCTGTGGTTTTGAGAATCTTGTCTGCTTATACATTTGAATTAGTTACAATGATTGCTTTCTCTTTGGATTTGTTTCGCCACTCCTTTGGTAATGTCCGGAGAGAGCTTCTTAACTGACACGAACGGGGCTCCATTGGTATGTCCTGGGATCCCTCGTCAGGCCTGTGCACTCCCAGACCTCCAAGGGCCGGGACCTGCATTTTTGTCCGAGGGCCGTCCCCAGGCTGCCTGAACTTACTTAGCCTATGGGCATAGTGGGCTGGAGGTGCCTGGGAACTAACAGCGCCAGAGGAAACCTTTAACTAAAGACCAAAGGCTGTCAGGGTGTAAATACTCTTCTTGCCCTTCGGCTGAGATAATTCTGAAGCATATTTTACTTAGTTTTCTAGAGTTCTTCTTGGTAATTAATGCAATCAAGCTCCAGTCTCCTGCTGTGATGACTGCCTTCATAACATACCCTTTATTATTTATCTGTCTTCCCTCCGTATCTCACTTCCTACCTGTTCCTACTTGTCTATTTCCCTGTGAGGGACTGAACTGTGAGCCCCTCAGATTCAACGTACGAAGCCCCTAAATTTATTTGTTCGAGTCTGAAGCCAAAGTACCTAAGAATGTGGCTTTATTTGGAGATACAGCTTTAAAGAGGTGATGAAATTAAAATGAGATCATGAAGGTACACTCTAATCCACTATGACTGGTGTCCTTATAAGAAGAGATTAGGACACAACACACACAGAGGGAATCCCATGGGCAGACACAGGGAGAACACAGACATCTGCAAGCCAAGGGCAGGAGCCTCAGAAGAAACCAAACCTGCTGACACCTTGATCTCAGATTTCAGCCTCCAGAAATGTGAGAAAATAAATTTCTGTTGTTTAAGCCACCTAGCCTGTGATACTTTGTTACGGCAGCCCAAGCTAATTAATTCACTCCCAATTAAACTGTTCGCCCTTGAATCCTTGGCTCAAGGTCTGCTTCTGGGGAACCCAAGCTAAGATTCAAAGTTTATTGATTTTTTTCAGTGTTTCTTCTTTTCTAAATATGCATTTGAAGCTATAAATTCCCTTCTAAGCAAGGCTAACACTCTGATATGTAGTATTTGATAGTGTAATGATAAGTATTTGTAGTATAATGGTAAGCTTTGATATGTAGTATTATTATTTAATTTGAAGTATTTTCCATTGCAATTTCTATTTAACCTGTGGCTTATTATAACTCAGAAGGGTTTCACATTGGCCTTATAGATGCTCCAGCCATGTGTGTCACTTCTGCTCACAACTCAAATGACCAGAACTAGCCACAGGGCTCCACCCAGCCACAGGGGAGCAGAAAGCACAACCTACCGTGTTGGTGTTGCATAGAACATCTTTCTACATGTTTCCTCTTGCGTAGGTGCTAGAATTGCTTTAGAATAGGCTATAAACCTGGGGGTGGAGTCACTAAGTCATCTTATTAAACCCATCTTCCATTTTATTAGAAATTGCCAAGCTGCTTTCCAAAGCGGTTGTGTGAGTACACATATTGCCCATGCACATTGTTCTGCACCTTCACAACCCTTCATATTATCAGACTTTTAAAATTTTTTGGCAATTTTGGAGGCATGAAACAGTATCCTTTTGCATTTTAATTTTCATTTCCCTGACTAATAGGCAGGTCAGGTTTGTTTGTTTGTTGTTGTTGTTGTTTGAGACGGAGTCTTGCTCTGTCACCAGGCTGGAGTGCATTGGCACGATCACAGCTCACTGCAACCTCCACCTCCTGGTTTCAAGCAATTCTCCTGCCTCAGCCTCCCAAGTAGCTGGGACTACCGGCACCTGCCACCACGCCCAGCTAATTTTTGTATTTTTAGTAGAGACGGGGTTTCACCATGTTGGCCACGATGGTCTCTTGACCTCATGATCCACCCACCTTGGCCTCCCAAAGTGCTGGGATTACAGGTGTGAGCCACCGGGCCTGGCCAGGTCAGGTCTCTTTTATACCACATGTCCTGTGATGGTCTCTACTTTATATAACTGTATTTTTAAAATAAATTTTATGAAACATTTTCCATTTTAATAAAAATTAAGTTTATATCCTATTTGATAATAATTTGTGGCTCATTTCCCAATAGATTACATCATAATTCTCTAAAACTAATCCTTGCATTTTAGCAAGACTTCAGGTCTATTTAATTAGCAAGGCTGAATTTAAGAATGAACTTGAACTTTATCAGGGGTCAGTAAACTGTTTTTTTGGTAAAAGACCAATAGAAATATTTTATTTTATATATTTTTTTGCTTTGCAGGCCACATGGTCTCTGTTGCAAGTACTCAGCTCTGTTGGTATAGCAGAAAAGCAGATATAGACAATATGGTGTGGCTGTGCTTCCATAAAACTTCACTTGTGGACTCTAAAATGTAAATTTTGTGTAATTTTAGTTTGTCACAAAATATAACTCTTCTTTTGACTTTTTCCTCAGTTATTTAAAAATGTAAAAATCATTCTTGACTCAGGCTATATAAAAAAGAGGCAACAGGCCATAGTTTGCTCTTGGGCCCTAGCTTGGCACCCCCTGAACTATATGAAAGCTTGACTCTAAAGGCAAAGAATGTGATAGAAGCTGTGTACCTGCTGTTAATGCAACTCACATTGCAATCAACACGAAAGATTAAGATCTCGGCCAGGTCTTTCAATCCTCTTTCTCTGTTTTTGTGCCTTACAAGGATTTTCTTAGATAAGTTTCATGAGCATGGTAGATCCAATGGTCTCAAAAGATTTATCCTGCATTCTGCATGCACAGGTGTTTCACACAGCAAAGCCCAGGAGCACAGGTCTTGCAGCCTCTGGATAACCAACTCGTCTCTCACCAGTGGTTCAAAAAAGCCCATGCTATCCTCATCCAAATAAACTTATGAAATGCTTTACCAAATGATTTGTTCAGAACAGTGAATACTAGACACAACTTTGTGTGGAACAAGAGGAGATCCAGTAATGACAATACATCTTTTGTTAGAAAGACTTACAAAGGCTGTGACATTCTTCTTTGAAGTGTTGTCATTGTGTTGGATGGGATGAAGTGGTTCTAGGACACACAAAAAAGGATCAAGAACATCTGAGAAGACTACAGATAAGTCCTTACTGCTGATTTTGGACACAGGTAGGTTACAGAGATGTTACACAAGCCCTCTGGCTTGTCAGTAACCCAGGGATCTGCCTCTGCAAGGCTAATACCATGGTCATTATACTTTATCTCTCTGAAATGCTCTGGAGTCTATTCCGCATATAATTGGATGTTTGTTCAGATAGAAAACCACACTTTGGCCAAATAAGTCTTTGGTTTCTTCCAGGTCAGCCATATGAAGATTCAGATGAGCAGTCTGTGCTTCCTTTGCCTTATCTCTCAAGAGCTGAGACCTTATTTCTATTCCACCTTGAACAATTTTGTTTGAGTACAACATATTTACTGATATGGTCAGCTCAAGTCATTGTGGAATGAATACTTAGATGCTGCGTTCTTCCAAAAACTGAGCAGAACCTCCCTTCTGTGAACATTTTCAATAGGTTGTTTTCAAGGTGAGAAAGTGGGAGGGAGAAGGGGATGAGCATTGAAGTAAATATTTTTTTCTTCTTCTACTTTTGCTACTGGGAATGTTCCTATCCAGGAAGGCAGGTCCCCTTTTATTTTATCAGATGCAGAGGAGTTATCGTACCTCTGTTACCAATTCTTTATCCATAATTTATGTTAGTAACAAGGGACCTGTTGCTAGCAGTTACTGATGAAAACAAAAGCTGGTGGCTTTCTGGAAGAAGGGGGCGTGTGATCTCAAGAGAGTTGCATCATGGCCATACTCCTCTAAGTTTCTAATTTTTTTTCCTTTTTTTTTTTTTTTGAGACAGAGTCTCATTCTGTTGCCCAAAGTGGAGTGCAGTGGCTCGATTTCAGCTCACTGCAACTTCCGCCTCCCGGGTTCAAGCAACTCTCCTGCCTCAGCCTCCCGAGTAACTGTGACTACAGGCCCGTGCCACTATGCCTGGCTAATTTTTGTATTTTTTGTACAGACAGGGTTTTTCTATATTGAGCACGCTGGTCTCAAACTCCTGACTTCAGGGGATCTGCCTGCCTCGGCCTCCCCAAGTGCTGGGATTACAGGCATGAGCCACCACGCCTGGCTTCTAATTGTCTTTTTAAAAGCCTTTTCCCCTTTTGTGTGTGTGAGTTATCTTCACTCTCACTGGCCACCAATAACAAAAAAAAAAAAAAAAGAAAAGAAATAAAGAAGTGGGAGATGTTTAGAACATTTCTGTGATGTCAAGGCAGATCCAGTAATTAAAGTTTTCCCTTCTTCCTATCTCGATTTGATCCCAATGCACATTTTTTTTTAGGTAAGTAACTTCAGATTTCCTAATCCACTATAGCATTTAATTCTCAGGCTGTTAATGGAGTAGAAGTCATTCCTGTGGCTGGCATATCTGAACTGCCTGCATATCAATATCTGTTGAGACATAGCACCAAATAATCATTCGAAGCCCAGAAGTGAATAAGAACAATCCATTCACGCGTGGGACATTTATTGGATATCGTCTATTTTAAAAACATTGGCTCATCACTCTGGGATATGAATAAAAAATTAGAGGAGAAAAGATGAATATAAAAACATATGGTAACTGAAGAAGGACTGAAGAGCTGATGGCAAGGATTCTGTCTCAGGTGTTTCCAAAGGCAGAGAGAGTCTACGAGTCAATTCCAAAGACATGTGTTCTCCCTTCCTCCAATTCAGCTACCACCAAGGCTCCACCTGGCCCTTTAGGGACTCACGCTCCACTTACATTTCTGGGAGGAGAACAAAACTGGTTCTTCCTTAGGAACCAAAACAGTAACATGGGCCCTGTGCTGATCTGAAAGGTATTTTTATTTAAGGAAAAGACTTGGCTTTTTTCATGTTAAGGTTAAATATTTTCTCTGGGGACTGTGATGAACACCTCCTGAAAAGTAAAAATCTAACGGTGTGTGTGTGTGTGTGTGTGTGTGTGTGTGTGTGTGTAGGTGTGTAGGACGTTTTCTCTAGAATTCTAAAATTTCTTTTCTTAGGTAATAATTTTCACATTTGCTAAGTTCTGAATGAATCTAAACTATTTTGCTTTGAGTTTGTCTTCCTATT
Source organism: Homo sapiens (assembly GCF_000001405.40). Taxonomy (NCBI): domain Eukaryota; kingdom Metazoa; phylum Chordata; class Mammalia; order Primates; family Hominidae; genus Homo; species Homo sapiens. The sequence goes on along the minus strand of NC_000006.12, from coordinate 14,424,655 downwards.
ACTAATCCATTTTCTGCTCTAGAAGATTTTGAAGATAAGGTAGGTTTTGAACTTAGCCCACTGACTGCCAAGCAATAGTCATTTACATGGAAAGCAAAAAAAAGAAGTTATTGGCATCAGAATTGACTCAGTCATTAAAATATTCCACACCTAGATTTCTCAAAGAACTAAAAACAAAACTACTATGTGACCCAATCTCACTACTGGGGATACACCCAAAGAGAAAGAAGTCATTATATCAAAAAGATGTCTGTACTCAAATGTTTATCACAACGCTGTTCACAATAGCAAAGACATGGAAGCAACTGAAGTGTTCATCAGTGGAGGACTGGATAAAGGAAATGGGATAGACTATTCACCATGGAATACTTGTCCATCCATAGAAAAGAACAAAATCATGTCTTTTGCAGCAGCATGGATGGAACCGGAGGCCATCGTCCTAAGTGAAATAACTCAGAAACAGAAAGTCAAATACCACATGTTCTCACTTATAAGTGAGAGCTAAACAATGAGTACACATGGACATACACAGTGAGTGGAATAATAGACGCTGGAGTCTACAGAAGATGGGAAGGTGGGAGGGGCTTGACAATCGGAAAGTTACCCATTGGGTACCATGTTCTCTATTCGGGTCATAAGTTCACTAAAAGCCCAGACTTTACGTCTATGCAATATATGCCTGTAAGAAATCCACACTTGTACTCCCTAAAGGTATAAAAATTAAAACTAAATAAATAAATAATTAAATAATCCATACCTAAACCATTTGCAGTGGAAGATTTTTGCACAGTTTTATTTTCTCGGGGTCATTTCCTACCCTGAGTTTTGGCCATCTGCATATGGTTATGGAATTACTGTCTCTTAGGATGCTCTTTACTCTTTCCTGAGCTGGTGAAACCTAGGGGAATCACTAGAATAAACTTCACTCTCTATTTATGCGGATTTGCTTCACAGGGAATCCTTTGTATCAACTGAGTCACTGCCATCAAAATATCCATGAGAAGTTCACATAACCTCATTTCCCTCTGTTAATGTTACTGAGTAAAGCACAAGACAGGAATATTCTTAGAGGATATATGGCTTCCTCTTAATCAGAGCTGGCTTAGAGTGGAGAAACAGGGTCCCTGGGGACAAAGCAAGGCACTCATGAACTCTGGCCACTGTAAGACAAACAATGGGGAGACCTTATTCTTAATTTAGATTCTAAGCAAAGGTTTTCCTGGTGACCTAGTTCCTCTGGAGCAATCGCACTGCTCCAGTGATGTTTTAGCGACTTGCCCTGGTACCCTGAGTTCCCACCTTGCCGCTCGTCTCACATTTTCTTTCAGGATATCTGGATTTTTCCTCTGATTTACACATTTCCTCTATAATTCTGCACAATACCAAAAATAAATATAATTTCCTTCCTCTTAAAACTCAATAACCATTAGGCTAGAAGAAGAGGTACCATTTGGCAAAAAAAAAAAAAAAAAACTCTCCATATCACATCCTGCCTAGCGGTAACCTCAAACTTGATCTCACAGTGAGGACAGCCTGATTTTTCTCATGCTTAGGAAATCACCAAGCCATGGTAACACTTTCCTGGATGTAGCTATTGTAGCGTACTGGGGCCCCTGAGCCATGCAGGGTCACACAGTTTGTCTGGGGTGAGAGGTCTCATTCAAAATGCATTACACCAAATTTTCCTTTCAATGAAGTTTTGGCTGTACCACCTCCACTGCCCCACCTGTAAAAAGAGGAAACTTCTCTTATAAGAGAATGAGAAAAGAGGGAAGAAGGAGGAGTGTCCAGATGGATAGAAGGGGAGGGGAAGGTGGTTTCTTTTTTTCTTTTCCTTTTTTTTTTTTTTTTGAGATGGAGTCTCACTCTCTCACTCAGGCTGGACTGCAGTGGTGGTATCACTGCAACCTCCGCCTCCCAGGTTCAAGCGATTCTCTTGCCTCAGCCTCCCAGGTAGCTGGGAACTAAAGGCGCACGCCACCACGCCCAGCTAAGATTTTTGTATTTTTAGTACAGGTGGTGTTTCACCATGTTGGCCAGGCTGGACTTGAACTCCTGACCTCAGGTGATCTGCCCGCCTCGGCCTCCCAAAGTGCTGGGATTACAGGCGTGAGCCACCGCACCCAGCCCCGGAAGGTGGTTCTATAAAGACCTGGCCTTCCTCCGGCTCTCATCTGCCGATAGTCTAGAAGAGCAGATTCTGGGAGGCCTGATTCTACAGCTGCCCACGGATGTTTAGAGGCACTGACGCACCAGCTTTCCTCTACCAAGGAAGATCCCTTAAATCACCCACAACGAACAGTGCATCATCTTTCAATGGAGGCAATTCAGCCCGTTTTTCCCATTATTGGAACATATCTCTGCTTCTCTTCCTGAGCACTAAAGTAGTTGGCATGCATTTAGGAGCCATGTTGTGTGAAAAATATGGCTCACCATGTAGTTGGATGTGAGTAAGTTGGATGTGACTGGGATCTGTCTCCACTGTAATGCAAAAGGTATGGGCATTCTCCCGCCTGGTCCTTGAGATCCCTGGCGGAATATCTGTGATCTTCTAAATTTAATATAGTTACAGGGTAATTGACAGGCAGGACTACACTTCCCTTCTTCCCCAGGAAATGCCTGTATTCATTCTATGTTAAATTTGTTTGATTTCAAAGATCCACTGGGTAATTCATGGCTTCCTGCTCTTTCCCTTACCCAAATGCCTTCCCACTCTATTTATGAGTCCAGAACAGGTCAACATTTGAGGACCTAGTAAATCAAGTTGAGTTTGGATTTCCGTTGCAATTTTGTGACTTCCTATATGAGCACTTTATTATCACAGAGAAGGAAGTCTGGGGAGCAGGACAGAGATAGTTCAGAGAAGTCTCCACTAATATTTATAAAGACATTATGTAAAAGCATTCTCCCCAGCCCCCACATCTCCCCTTTTTTTAACACCCAGAATTCCAAAAGAATGAGCATTATTTTCATTGATTGCTGCCACAAGCAAGAAGAATAGGGCCAATCTATATTTTCCCCCACAAAATTTGGAGAGGCATGATATATAGAGAGAAGCCTAAAGGAAAAAAATACATGCAAGTATAATAGAATGGTGTTTGCTTATTGTGATTTGTTAATATATGTTCCTTGAACTGAACTAGATAAAAGTAAATAAATACTATGAAGATTTGTCTTGTGCCAGTATGCTTAAAAAGGAATTTTATTTCATCCTTCCTGTCATCTTGCAACATTTCCAAATATTAATTTAAAAATTTCATAATTCCAATATATATTTTGCATCAGGATAAGGCATATTGTGTTGAAAAAATTGTCACAATTTTCTTTCCTTTTTTAGAGACAGAGCCCACTGTGTTGCCCAGGCTGGCCTCAAACTCCTGGGGTGAAGGAATCCTCCCACCTCAGCCTCCCAAGTAGCTAGGACTATTGGTGTGCACCATCAAGCCCGCCATCACAATTTTCTAATCCATTCCCAGGCTGATATAATTATTGAACCTGAAAGAGTAAATACAGATAGGTGACAAAATCAAAATTGGAGGTTAAGCTTGTCTTGTCCAGTCCAGATCCTGCTTTCAAACAAGATTTGGGATATTGTCTCAGAGAATTCCCAACAAATATAGAATGAAATAAAATCCATATGAGAGAAACAAATAAAGAGCTGTGGGAAAGCAAAGGAGGAGGTGGTCAGGTCTGTGAGAAAGTTCTGAGAACACTTTCACAGAGAAGATAATAGTGGAGCAAGAGGCATGGACCCCACTGGTTCTGCCTTACATGGTACCAGAAGCAGCCTAGCTTAACAGTTAGTAGATTCTCAATAAGAAGTTGTTGAATTTATAATGGAAGGAAAGATGAAGAGAAAAGAGCTAAAGTTATACCCTTAGAAAATACCTATATCTAGAGGGCAAAAGAAAGAAAAGGAAGACGACAAGAAGAGGAAGTAAACAGAAAACTATGCAATGTATGAAGGGATGTCAAAGAGAATTTGGTGGGCAGTATTTTCTAATGCTGTAGAATAATGCTACTTAAAGTATGGTCCTCAGACCGGTAGCATAAGTATCAACTGGAAACCTGCTAGTAATACAAATCCTTGGCCCATCCTAGACCTACTAAATCAGAGTCTCTTGGAGTGGGGGCCCAGAATCTGTGTTCAATGAGCTCTCAAAGTGATCTTTACGCACATTAAAGTTTAAGAAAAAATGTGGCATATTTCTGGAAGATAAGTTGCTACTGACATAACTCAAGTTTCTGATTCTTAGAACCAAATTCTTGCAACCTCCTAGGATCTTCCCAGAATTAAGTTGCAGGGAAATCACTGTATTAAATTGCTAATGTATAAATGGTTCAAGGTAAATAGCTTATTGCATGCTTTATTTCTTAAAACCTTTCTTTCATTGTAATGTCCCACTTCAGTAAGAGTGAAAAGGAAAACAGCATTAAACTTCCTCAGTTAATCATACCTAAAAACCACTCCGGTATATTATTAAACAACTCAGTTCACCTCTGTCAGCTACCATCTCAGGGAAAATTACAAAATGTTTTGCATTGAACAAAAATGAAAATACAACATCTCTGAATATACAGGATGAAGATAAAGTGGTACTTGAAGGGATATTCATAGCATTAAGTGATTTTATTAGAAAAGAAAAAAGACCTCAATTTAAAAATCCAAGCTTCCAATTTAAGAAACTAGAAAAAGAAAAGCAAAAGAAACCCAAAGGAAGCAGAAGAAAAAATATATAAAGATAAGAACAGAAATGAACAGAATTTATAAAATAAAACCATAGAGAAAAATCAATGAAATAAAAAGTTGGTTCTTTGAAGGATCAATAGAATTAATAAACTTTTAGCCAGTCTGACAAAGAAAGAGAGAAAACACAAATTACTACTACTGGAAATAAAAGAGGGCACATAACTACAGACTTCACAGATGTTAAAAAGATAATAAAGGAATACTACAAAAACTCTACAGACATAAATTCAAGTTAGATAAAATGAACCAATTCCTTGAAAGACAGACTATCAAATTCACCCAAGAAGAAAGAAAGAACCTAAATAGCTCTATGCTTATTAAAGAAATTAAATTTGTTGTTTAAAAATTTTCAACAAAAGAAATCTTCAGACTCAAATGCTTTCACTCCTTAATTCTACCAAAAATTTAATAATAAAATAATACCAATTGTATATGACTTTTTGTTAAAATAGAAGAGAAGGAGGTTTTATTTATTTATTTATTTATTTATTTATTTATTTATTTATTAGAGACAGAGTCTCCCTCTATTGCCCAGGCTGGAGCGCAGTGGCGCAATCTCGGCTCACTGCAACCTCCACCTCCTGGGTTCAAGCAATTCTCCCGCCTCAGCCTCCCTAGTAGCTGGGACTATAGGCGTGCGCCACCACGCCCAGCTAGTTTTTTTGTATTTTTAGTAGAGATGGGGTTTCACCATTTTGACCAGGCTGGTCTCAAACTCCTGACCTCATGATCCACCCACCTCAGCCTACCAAAGTGCTAGGATTACAGGCATGAGCCTCTGCGCCCGGCCAAAGGAGTTATTTTCTAAATCATTCTTTTAGGTCAACAATACCCTGACATAAGATCAAGACAAAGACAGTATAGGAAAAGATAACTGCAGAAGAATATCTCCCATAAACATAGATTAAAAGTTCTCAAAACAATATACTAGGAAATCAAATCCAACAGTATATAAAAAGAATAATACATCACAATTAACTACAATTTATCCTGGGAATCCAAGGTTTGTTCAATAGCAAAAAGTCGATCAGGCATGTTGGTATGTACCTATGGTCCCAGCTACTTGGGAGACTGACGCACGAGAATCAGTTGAACCCAGCAGGCAGAGGTTGCGGTGAGCCAAGACCGAGCCACTGCACTCCAGCCTGGACAACAAAGCAAGACTCTGTCTTAAAAAAAAAAAAAAAAGTCAATCAATGTAATCCATCATATTAATAGATTTAAAAAATATTATATCAATTGATGCAGAAAAACCATTTGACAAAATGCAGCATCTATTTGTGATGAAAACTCTCAGCAAACTCTGAAAAAAAGAGAAATTTTTAACTTTGTTTTTTCTTATGATTAGGAGCAAAATAAAAAATCTTTATTCTTAGGCAACATCATACTATAAGTCCTAGCCAGTGTAATAAGGCAAGAGAAAAAAATAAAAAGCACATACCTCTTTATTATTTTTTATTATTTTAAACTGTCCTCATTTAAAGACAATATAATTATCTACATAGAAATAGCCATGGTATCTAACAAAAAGCTCCCTAAAACTAAGTATCTGGAATCCACTCCTGAAATAACTAACCCACTTTCACAATAAGAACATCATTCCATTTATGATGGTGAAGACCTCATGACCTAATCACTTCCTAAAGGCCCCACCTCTTAATACTGCTACAATGGCAATTAAATTTCAACATGAGTTTTGGTGGGGACATTCAATCCATAGCAAATACCATTTATGGAAACTCCCCCAAAATGGAATTTTTACGCGAAAATCTAACAAAACTTATAAAGGATCTGCTTGCTGAAAACTACAAAATGCTAGTGAAAGAAATCAAAGAAGACATAAATAAATAGAGACATATACCATGTTCATGGTTATGATGTCAATCATCCACCACTTAATCTACAGATTTAATGTTATTACCATCAGATTTTGTTTTGTTTGTAGGTACAAAAACATTCTAAACCTTATATTAAAAGGCAAAAGAACTAGAATAGCTGAAACAATTTTGGAAAAGAAAAGAATAAAGTTGGCAGACACACTACTTGATTTTTTTTTCTTTTTTCTTTTTTTTTAAGTATGAGGCCAGGCACAGTGGCTCATGCCTGTAATCCCAGCACTTTGGAAGGCCAAGGCAGGAGGATTTCTTCAACCCAGAAGTTCAAGACCTGTGGGCAAAAAAATGACACCCCATCTCTACAAAAAATCAGAAAATTAGCCAGACATGGTGGCTCAAGCCTGTAGTCTCAGCTACTCAGAAGACTGAGGCAGGAGGATTGCTTGAGCCCAAGAAGCCGAGACTGCAGTGAGTCATGTTCCTGCCACTGCACTCTAGCCTGGGCAAGAGAGTGCTACCCTGTCTGTCCCCGCCCCTGAAGAAAGGTGTGCCTACTGTGTTGCAAACATTGTTTGCTAGGTTCTGGTACTGAGAAAACAAGGAATAAGACATTATCCTTGCCTTGAAGCTGCTTACAATTTGATGTAAACTCACTCTCAGTTTCACCCTGTGACTCCCTTCATCTTATGTTCACAAACACTTTTGTGCCCCTGCTTCCCAGCAGGCAAAACTAATAACAATATATATAGTGTTTGACAGATTTAGAAATACCTAGGCTTTGGACAGGCGCCATTCCATTAAAGCTAATGCTTTCCAGGTCTGCCTGCACTGGGTACTAGAATCTTGACCAAATGTTAACTGGATACCCGGCTTAAATAGTTCTGCTTAAATAATACATTAATGCTGCATTTATTGAGCACATTTTACTACATTTGCATTTGAATTAGGATAATATGCTCTCTGCCTTCAAGGGGCTCTGAGGTTAGTGGGGAAGTCAAACTATAAATAAAGAAATTAATGAAAAAGATGGCATGGGACTGAAAAACAGTCCGGATGCCAGATAATCAAAGGCCTCAAATATTGTGCTAAAAAGTTGCAGTTGTATCACATAGATGATGACAAGCCATTGAAGATTTTAAGCAAAGGAGGGTTCTCAATGACTTTATTCACTCGTTCATTCAGTAAACAGTTACTGAATGTCTACTATACACCTCGTGCTAGTCAAGATTCAGGGAATACAAAAATAACTAAGCCATGACCCTGCCTCTAGCAAGCTCAATACCAAGAAACACCCCACTGTGTGACACGATTCATTTACGAGTGAAGCAGGATATTATCTTGTGGAAATAATCCATGAGATTTTTTTTCTTTTTTCATTGCCCTCCCTCACCCCTCATATAAGTAGCCATTGCTTTAACATCCCCACGTGAGAAGAATGACTGGGTTGAATGCAGAAATCAGCTCACATACTTCCTAGCTTTTGGTTTCAAAAGCCTAAGCTCCAGAGTGGAGAGAATATCACAGAATCAACAAATACCTGGAGCCAGATGAAGGTTGGAGGATTGGGCTAAAGGGTGGATTCTTTCTTCCTCCATCCACTGTCTACCAGACTAGAATCCCTCCTCCCATTGCAGCAAGGAGGAGGGGAGAAAGAGCCTGGGGTCTGTGCATCTCTGAGCAATAGGAGGCCAGATGTGGCTTCTTGGGTATGCTGCTGCAGCTGTAGGAAGTCTGCAGAGAGAGATGGATACCTGGCCATTCAGGCAGCAGATGAAACCAAAGGCAGGTTTGCAAAGATGTCTGTGTTCTAGCCACAGCACATAGGCAGCAGAATGCCAGTGCACCCAAAGGGGCTGTGTGGAAAGAGACCATGGAACTTAGGGGTAAACTGAGTCAGCAGAGGACTGCCAAACAGAGGGCTCTAATACCCCAACTCTAGTACCGTGCAGGGCCTCAGACCTATGGCACAGTCCAGGAGTGGGGAGAGAGGGCCCCAAGGGTGACTGAATTTCAAGTTTTTCTAGCCTGGCAGAAAGTGCACTGTGCTCTAATGAATACAGTGAGATGTCTGTATTAGTCCATTCTCACACTGATATGAAGAATACCTGAGACTGGGTAATTTAAAAAGGAATGAAGTTTAATTGACTCACAGTTCCACATGGCTGGGGAGACCTCAGAAAACTTACCATCATGGCAGAAGGTGAAGGGGAGGCAAGGCACATCTTACATGGCGGCAGGAGAGAGAGAGCATAGGGGAAACTGCCCCTTTTAAACCATCAGATCTTGTGAGAACTCCCTTACTATCACAAGAACAGCAGTGGGGAAACCGCTTCCACGACCCAATCACCTCCTACCAGGTCTCTCCCCCAACAGGTGGGGATTCCAATTTGAGATGAGATTTGGGTAGGGACCCAGAGCCAAATCAATGTCCTACACAACTAAGCAAGTAGACTGAGATTGAGTCCTGCTACACATGTCAAATGACTCTGAGACAGGATAGGTGACAGATTCTGCTAGGTCATAGTGGCTGTGCAGGAGAGGAGAGAGGTCTTCTCAGAGGGCTCAAGTCTGAGCTGAGCTTTGAAGGGTAGGATGAGAACCTGTGTGTTGGAAGGATATTTCAGATAAATGGGACATTTACAGGTATGGCGCCTCCCAGGAAAATTTAAGAAGTTTTGTTTTGTTTTCACACAGTTATATTTTGGATATATGCTGGGGGAAAAAAGTTGGAAAGTCAGGCACAGAAACCAATGTGAAGGGCCTCACTTCTAAGGGTAAGGATTTTGTACTTGAAGATTGAAGAGTTTTAAGTAGTAAATAAACATTATTAGAATGTCACAGATAAACAAGAAAAATTTTCAAGGGTAGGCTGTCATTAAAAAAAAGACAAGAAAAATATGTTAGTGATAATGATCTAACCCACAGTATGTAGCATAAAACTGCATATTATTCCTGAAACTATTAACATAAACATATGCAGTAATAGCTAATGTACAATTAAGGCAAGAATCGCTTCCTTTTGTTCACTGTTTTAGCTTCTAGCATAGTTCCTAAAACACCAAAGTACTAAAAAAATTGTTAAAATGAAAACAAAAGATATTATCTATCTTGTATAATAAAAGGCATCTTGATTATTCAACATTGTATTCTAAGTTCTCAGTATAGCATTTGGCACATAGGTGTTCAGTAAATATTTGAATAAATGAAGGAATTATTCTGTAAGTATAAAAAAACAAAATAATGAACACATAAAGAACATCAGTTAGTATAAAGTTGCAACCACTATAGCTTTCACATGTGAACCTCGTACTTCTGGTGGGAATCAAATGAAACTCTTACTGAAGTAGGACTCATGTAAATATCTCCACTTTGGCCTCAGTCTGTGGCCCACTGTCAACCTGATTATGAACCTCGATCACATAACAGTCTGTGTCCCATGGTGGTTCACACCAGAGGGGTTGTTCCCAACACTGTAAAATTCATTCTCTCTCTCTGTTTATGGTTGTTCACAATTGACTTAAGGGCCTCGGATCTGCACTATATTTGTACAGCCTTGGATAGTTATTTTTGTTCATATGTACTCTCGCACACATCTATGTACTATAGCTCATACAATTTTTTTTTTTTTTTTTTTTTTTTTGAGACAGGGTCTCACTCTGTCACCCAGGCTGCAGTGCAGTGATGCAATCACAGATCACTCCAGCCTCGAACTCCTGGCCTCAAACGATCCTCCCATGTCAGCCTCTCCTAAAGTGCTGGCATTAGAGATGTGAGCCACCATCCCTGGCCTACCTCATGCAATTTAAAGAGGCTATTCTCGGCCAGCCATGGTGGCTCACATCTGTAATCCTAGCACTTTGGGAAGGCAAGGCGGGCAGATCACTTGAGGTCAGGAGATCGAAACCAGCCTGGCCAAAAAGGCGAGACCCCGTCTCCACTTAAAAGAAGTACAAAAATGAGCCCAGCATGGTGGTGCACACCTGTAGTCTCAGTTACTTGGGAGGCTGAGGCAGGGGAATCACTTGAACCCGGGAGGTGGGTTGCAATGAGCCAAGATCTCTGCACTCCAGACTGGGAGACAGAGGAAGACTCCGTCTAAAAAAATAAAATAAAATAAAATAAATTATTTTTTAAAAAGAGGTTATTCTCTAATGTTAGGCCTACAAAACCCTCTGCTGTTGTGTGGACCACTAGTACCTGGGGTGGCTTCTCTGTGCTACTGTGTAGCCAGGTTTTATAAATCACCCTGGTTTTCAAAAAGAATATAACACTCTCTAGTTTAAGAGTTAACAAAACGTCTTTCTCATAATTCTGTAGTTTCTGGTCCTGTATTACTTTATCAATGGGAAATTATTCAACTTTAAAATGGAAGAAAATTCTGACATATGTTACAACATGGATGAGCCTTGAAGACATTATGCCAATTGAATGATATGATTCTACTTATAGGAAGTACTTAGAATAGTCAAATTCTTAGAGGCAGAAAGTAAAATACAGGTAAGCAGGGGTTCAGGGGAGAGAGTGGGGAGTTATTTTTTAAAGGATAGAGTTTCTGTTTGGGGTAATGAAAATGTTCTGGACGTGAACTGTGGTGGTGGATTCACAATGTGAATCTACTTAATGCCACTGAACTGTACACTTAAAAATGTTTAAACTGTTAAGTGTTGTGTTATGTATAGCTTACTACATAAGAAAATTTTTTAAACATTTTTAAAAAGCTAATTGGAGTCTCTGAGCTCATGGCTATGGTTTACACACTGTGAGGTCCAGTAGAATGATCTGGCTCAGCTATTTCTCTGGGGACACCTCCTTGTCAATTTCTTAGTCTTTCCTCTTGGACTAGTTGTATTCTCCAGAGAAAGACCTTCCAAACTTTTGCTTGAAAAATAGTGACAAGTTACCAACATGCTAGAAGCAGAGTGAGGGAAGAGGGCACAGGTCTTGACAGTCAGTATATAAATATGTATTGAACTCTCCTTCAAACCTGCTTAGTCCTCCTTTTATTAAATGACCCCTGCCCTAAACTGCGTCTGGTGGAACCCTGTCCGGAGACCCTCTCTTTGATCCTCTCTGGAGAATAGACCCTCAGGCTTCTGCTGGGCCGAAGGAAAACTGCACAGAGAGGAGGAGATTTCAAGTTTTAAATGGATTTTAACAAGTCCTCCTATTTTGCCCTTGCCCCTTAAGCCCTACTTCTAGAGACAACTGATGCCACCAATTTCCAAGTCTTTGGGGAGTTTTTTAGTGTCATGGGGTTTGTACATCTACTGATTCTTCTACTGGCTTAGATTCATGTTTCTTAGGTCAGATAAGTCAGTTGCCATTTGAGTACCTGCTTTCCAGCTTTCAGGATGTTATTACTATTTCCTTCTCTCTCATTATCTTTGTTTTTGTGGGTTTCTGCAAGTAAACAAACAAACAAAATGCTTTACTGTTATCTTAGTGTGGCTTAGGAAGACGCAAGAGTAAATGTGTACGTTCATCATCTTTGCCAGAAAGTCTCTTAGGTAGTTTGTACGATGCCATTTTAAAAATTGTTGTGTTCTCCTAGCCTCCGTTAGCAGAAGGAAGCCATCTAAAACAAGAACAGTGAAATGTTACTGTCACTTGATGGTGGTCGGTGAACTCTGGAGTACTCTTTTCAGTTCTGAGCACAAGCTTTAAAACTAGAAAAACTGGAATTGTTTTAGAGGATGGTGGCTAGAATATTAATGGAACAGTTGAAGGGACTGGGAAGGTTTTCAACAGAGAATGGAAATTTTCAGAAGTTGACCTCAAATATTCGAAAAGCTGATGTCCATTCATTCATTCATTTATCTGGTAAATCTTTACTGAGTTCCTGTCACGTGCTAGGAGGCATTCTTCTAGCATGAGAACACAGTGGTAAATGTGACCAAGTCCCAATTTTTGAAAAGTTTATATTCTAAGGAAGGAAAGAGTGATTTGCTCTGGATGGGCCAACTACAGAAATAGAACAAATGGGTAAAAGCCATAGAGAGACAAATTTCAAATGAATGCAAGAAAAAACTGTAAAGTGTTAGAGCAGTTGAAGTGTGATGAACAACCTGGTCAGCCCCTCAGAAGCTGATTAGAACTAGAATACTCTCAATGAAATGGTTCAGCAGAGAGGCTAAGAGCATGGACTGTGGGTGGCATTCCAACTCTACATCTTGCTTGAGGTTGACTGTGGCCAAATCACAACCTGTCGGGGCCTCCACTGTTTCAAGTGTAAACTGAGGATGATAGTAACATACCGTCTAAGGTGTCGTGAGGATTAAATCCAGTTAATCTGGATAAAGTGCTTAGAAGAATGTGAGGCACATAGTAAATGCTACGTAAGTATTACTAGTATTATTTCTTTTCTACTTTCATTTTTGTTTTTAACCTACTCATTATTTTGAAAAAAATTTTAAACCTACAACAAAGTTGCAAAATAATACAACGAACACCTATATTCTCTACCAAAATTCCCCATTTATTAACATTTGGGGCACTTGCTTTATCTCTCTGAGAGTGGTTTGTTTTTCATTTGTTTGTTTTTGGACCATTTCAGTATTAGTTCCAGCTATCATGACCCTTCACCTCTACATATCTCAAATACCATTTTCTGAGAATGAGGGTAGTCTCCCACATAACCACTGTAGAACTATCATACTCAGAAAATGTAATATTGATACAATCCTATTTTCTAATATATAGTCCATATTCACTCTTCCCCAATTGTCTCAAAACTGTTTTGTCCAACTTTTTAAAAAATCAAGATCTAATTAAGAATTCTGAATTTAATTGCATTTCATTGTCATGTCTCTTTACCCTCTTTAATCTAGAACCTCTCACCAAACTTTTTTGTCTTTTATGACATTGACATTTTTGAGAAGGCCAGGCCAATTTTTTTGCAAAATGTACCTCAGTTTGGACTTGTCTGATTCTTTCCTCTTGATTAGATTCAAATGGAATATTTTTGACAGAAATCATATATAACTGATGTGGTTCTCTCGGTGCATCACATCAAGAACCACCTGATGTCAACTTGTCCCATTACTGTGGAGGTAACTTTGATCATTTGCTTAAGGCGTTGCCTGCCACCGTCCCTTCCTATGATTAGGCAGTCACTGTACTGTGAGTGGTGTGATTAGCCAGAGACTGTGTGAATGTCCTATTTTCTGAAGAGTTTCTCACCCAGGGGTTTTAATTCCCATTGACGACTCTGTTATTATTTTGCAATGAGCATTGAACAGAGAAGATAACTTTAGTTCAGAGAGAAGATTGCCATATGTGCAGCAAGAGCATCCAGCAGGTAGTTCGCTCCAGTTAGTAGAAAAGAAAATGAGCTTTGCTATAAACTCACATCTCTCTGCCAATTACCAGTCTAATAACATTGGGTAAATTTCCTTAAGTTTAACCCTCTGCAAAATGGGAATCATCGTTTCAATCTCACAGCGTTTATTTGTGGATTGAATACAAAGAGAAGCTATCCTGAAAATGAGGATGATAATGATGGTGATGGATGTAGTATTACAGGAGGAAGATGATTAAATTTTCAGCTAACTTTGTGAAGGTTGGAGAAAGAAAGAAGGAAATGGACACACAAGACAGGATGTCGGAAAAGGGCCTTACTTTATAATTAATCACATAAGAGAAACAAAGAACATGAGGGAAGACACAATGATCAAATATTTGTTGAATGCTTCTGATGCACAAGGGGCTCTGGGATTGGTTTATTTCATCGATGAGTGATGTTGACTCTAAGGTTTATAACAGGTCAGGGAAATTGTAGCATTTTCTCCTGGGTATGGGCAAATTGGGAAAGGTGGAAGTAGGGAGAACAAAGACTAAAAGTTTTATCTTCGTCATATTTATCCTGAATTGGTGGTAACCCAGCCAGTTTGAATTGCGCTGCAGAGTGGTGGTAAGCATTAGTATTGGGCTGTCTGCATAAGAATCACCTGAGAAGCTTATAACAATAGTAAGTTTCTAAACTAAGCTGCCCCTCCAAAGATTCTGACTCGATATGCCCTGGGTGAGGTTTTGACCCACTGCAGGGATAGATAAAGTGTCACATGAACCAGAGAGGTCATCTCAGGGGAAGAAAGTTGATTTGTGTGTCAACAGATTATAGACAGTAATCGTATACTCAGGTGTGACAGCATTGGCCTGAGAATAAGGCACCAGGTCTTTTACCAATAGATTGAGGCAATTTGACTTTGACGTGTACATTGCTGACAGAGCTGACCTAGAAATAGCCAGAGAAGTCTGTAGCCAACTCCAAGATCTGTGCTGTGTGTGGCCACTAGCCACACGTGATTAACTAGAATTAAAAAAACAACAGTTGATGTACTTTTAGGATATACTTCCTTGAGTACTCAGGGTCACTAAAAAACTTCTGTTGTAGAAAATTTTAATGTAAACTGAACTGAGAGTTAATTTAAATCAACTAACAATCATATAAAAATTTAAAATATAGTGGCCAGGCATGGTGGCTCACACCTGTAATCCCAGCACTTTGGGAGGCCAAGACGGGCAGATCACTTGAGGTCAGGAGTTTGAGACCAGCCTGACCAACATGGTGAAACCCTGTCTCTACTAAAAATACAAAAATTAGCCGAGCATGGTGACATGCGCCTGTAATCCCAGCTACTCAGGAGGCTGAGGCAGGAGAATCACTTGAACCCGCGAGGCAGAGGTTGCAGTGAGCAGAGATCGTGCCACTACACTCCAGCCTGGGCAACAGAGTGAGACTCGTCTCAAAAAAAAAAAAAAAAAAAAAAAAAAAAAATATATATATATATATATATATAGAGAGAGAGAGAGAGAGAGAGAGAGAGAGAGAGATCCTCAGTTAAACTAGCCACATTTCAAATGCTCAATAACCACGTGTGACTAGTGGCTACTGTATAGGACAGTGCAGATATACATTTCTATCATTACAAAGGTTCTATTGGATGAGCAAATACTGATAACCTGCCAAAGGCCCACCCACAGTAGGAAATAATTGTTACTGGCCTCACTCTAGACACCAGGAAAGATTTGGCATTTAGTGTACTAAGGACTATTTTAGATTGTCTTATTGCCAACTAAAAAACAAAAACAAAAAAAGACTGTAAGAGGCTGTCATAAACTCCTGCAAGTCAGGAGACTTTTGATCAAGTGAAGAAACCACATCCATTTAAATCCATTCCCCGTTTTTGGCGTATGTGTTGGGGTGCAGAGAGACTGAACTGTTAAACCCTATGGCCCCAGCAGCAAGCACTGTAGAATATCCTGTCTCCAGGGATGGATTCTATGAGCCATTGTTGGATCTGACTCTCCGCCTGGCCTATGCCTTCCCATTCCCCAGGCAGTCTGACTGCCAAGATAGTTGGCAGTGCCCAGGTGTGATGCCAGGTAGCTGCGTTTCCTCTCTGTGTGTGCTCTGTTGGCCCTCTCTAAGTATAGTCTTCATCCATCTGCTCCTCTCGCCCTTCCATGCTGCAGAGTTAGGTGTTGTTTTGTCCCCTGGAGGAAGCCCATATTGTTCTATTCCTACCAGAGAAGAAACAAATGAGGAGCAACAAGGAAAAATATGGAGTGTAAGCATGTGTTTCCAGGTCATCAACATGCAGGCAAACGTGCATGAAAATGAGTGTTAATTTACTGCATGATTCAGTGTTTGCAAGACTATCAAGTCATTTCCCATAGGCTGCCCAACAGCCATCACATGGTAATGAATTTCTATTATAACCCATGTATGATGCTTGAACCGGCAAACTAACAATCAAAGAAAAGCACAAAATAATAACAATGGTGATAACAATAATCATAGTGTAATAATTAACTGGCAAAGGCATTTACAATTGGGGTCAATTGGGTAAGAGAATGTCGTGAGGCAGCTATAACAGGTCTGATTTTCTCATTTTAACATTTGTGGTTTCTGCTGCCTTTATTTTAAAAAAATAAAAATTTTGAACTGTGAAAATAGACCCAGCGCAACAATTAAAATAGAAACAAATTGTGTCGATAGCAGGTTGCACTTTTATTTTTGTTTTTCATCTTAGGTATTGGAGGTCCTTTAAAATTTCTTTGGACTGTTCTGCGGTAATTGTCAAACAAACCCAGAAAGACTCATTCTTGGGGATTTTGTATTCAGTATTGAATTATATTCACCATTACCATTTTCTCATTTAAACATATGCGTGCCTTTGGTTTTGCTTTAGTTCTTTGGAAAACTCACAGTGGACTTGTACTTTAAAATGGACCAAACCATTTGAAAGCAAGACCATTTTAAAGATAAATAGGCATTTAAAATTCACTTTATCCTTTTTCTCCTTGTTATTATTTTTCTCTTCTCACTTCTTTCTACTCTTGGTTATCATTAAGTATAATTTAATATCTAGCTGAAAGGAGAGTCGATCTGATTGTATCATTGTAAATGTTCATGTTGAATTTAAAATGTCCAGAAAAGAATTCTAAATAATGGAACTAGAGTTTAATGTTTAATTAGTTCTTTTTTCCTGAAAAGTTGTCTCAGTTCATGCTCATTGTCTTTAATGGAGTGTCGTTAGCTACCTTGTTTTGGGCAAATATCCTCTAGCAGGTTTCACCCCAGAACAAATATTTACAGTTCAGCCCTAAACTCTGGAAAATGGCTTTGTGGCTGGTGCTGGAGGTGGAGTGGGGCTTCAGTGGAAAAGCCTTTCCACTGTGTCTTGGCTTTAGAAACACAAATGGAGCCACCACAATAAATCATTAAAGACACTCAAACGGGTGTTTATTGGAAGAATGCTCACCTCGGGTAAGCTAAGGTAGAGGGTTGAGAGTCTATGGGGGCTGGGATCCCACATAAACTAATGGGCACACTTTCTACAGACAGAAGGGCCATGCTTTAGTCATAGTGGTAAATCTGTAGTGACAGACGTTTGTTCTATATTTGTGAATGACCTGATTTGGCATGCATGCAGCTCGTTCTACTGACAATAATGGTAACATGGTGTGAGGGAGAGAGAGAGAAGAAAGGAGAAGGAATAGGGTGGGGGAGCTTGGTGGAGGGAGGAGAGAAACCCAGGCCGACAGTAAGGGAGAAGGGGAAAGGAATTTTAAACTGTTGGAGATCCTGAGCATCTAAGGGTGACCTAAAGGCAAACTGCCTTTAGTATCTGATTATTTTAATTTGAGAGGAAGTTCATGCCTAATTGATTCAGAGAGGATCGCCTCTCCTTCCTCCATGCTCCCTCCCTCCCTCTCTCACTCCTCTCCCCTGCAATCTCTGGGGAAGGTATTCAGAACAGCTGTCAGACCATAATGGGATGCTTCTGCATCAAGGAATCCCTTGCAATTTGCAAAATTTGCCTGGCCCTCCATTCTTTGCTGCAGTCCTGCAACCCATGGGCACTTCAAGTAAGAAAGAAAGCGGCCTGAAGTGACGAAAAGAATGAAGCGCTGTCACTCACTGGAAGGGAAGTAGCATTATGCTCTCTGCCTCATCTCTTTCTCTTAAGCCATCTCCTTTTTAAAATCACAGATATAATCCATGGGAAGAGCAATTACAACCCCCACAGAGCCCTCCACAGAGAGAGAGGTTGGGGTGGTGGGCAGTGCATGGAATGAGGAGAGTACGGAAATTCTTTTTTTTTTGAGATGGAGTCTCGCTCTGTCACCCAGGCTGGAGTGCAGTGCTGCAATCTCAGCTCACTGCAACCTCTGCCTCAGCCTCCCGAGTAGCTGGGATTACAGGTGCCCGCCACCACGCCCAGCTAATTTTTTTTGAATTTTAATACAGACAGGCTTTCATCATGTTGGTCAGGCTGGTCTTAAACTCCTTACCTTCTGATCCACCCACCTCGGCCTCCCAAAGTGCTGGGATTACAAGCGTGAGCCACCACGCCCGGCCGGAGAGCACAGGAATTCTATGTCCTGGTCCTAACTTGCTGTGTGACTATGGACAAATTACATCCTTCTCTGAGCTTATTTCCTGGCCTGTAAAATGAAACAATTCAAAAGATGATCTCTAAGAAACCTTTTAAGGCTAAAATCACAGCTCTCATGGTAAGGACATAGATATGTAGGTAGGGAGCCCTAACGCCACTTCCTCAGCGAGGTCTCCCCTGGCCAAGCAATCCAAAGTATTGCTGCTCTCCCATCAGTCTCTAATACAGCACTTGCCACCATCTGAAACCATCTTCATGATTTCTTTCGAGTTGTTTTATTAACCTTCTTGCATGCAGAGAGGGACGCTGTCTGTCTTGTCCACCGCCTCTTCTTTGGTGAAGAATACATATATCATGAATGTTTGAGGAGTGTCAAATGAATACATCCAGCGATTTTTCTGTTAAGTTCTCTCCATATGTCTGAACAGAGAGACATATTCAGATTACTTGAGTGAGTGAGCTTTTATGAGGGCTATGTCAGCAAATAAGGGAGGAGGAAATAATCTCTGGAGCCCGCAACCAGGCCCTACTGAGAAATGAAACACAGTGCTTCACTATTTAGGATGCAGCTGAAGCCCTGTAACCTGACGGCTCCTCTGACGGCACAGTATCAACTCCGTCCACGATCCCCTCAGATCATGCACCCATCCCTCCCTACGCCATGTCTGCATTTTCATGAGACAGAGTTATGGTCTGACCTCTTCTGTTGCTCTGAGTTCTCCAGGGTAACCAACTCTCCGTGGGTGTCCTGAGGTCACACTCTTCCAGAAAGGATTTGATTGGCTTACTTAACCACTATCCAGTAGAGGAAACCCCTTTTGGGCAAAATTGGCTTTGAAATCAGCACATAGGGGTTCCTTACAGGGCAGCGTATCAGAAGCAACCGTGCAGCTTTTATCAGAATACACTTCCTGAAGACTGACTGATAGATAATGAATTAGAATCTCCATCTGGTGTTGAGTTGGACATCTGGTATTTTGAAGAGTCTCCCCAGGCAGTTCTTCTGTTGTGCGCCTCTGGGCCACTGCTACTGCCATCGCTGGCTGCCTTTGGGCCAGGTGCTCAGCCTTGGTCCACTCAACTTCAGGGAGGCAGAATCACTGGTCCAAAGCAAGGGAGTGAGAATGACACACTCAGAACCCCACAGGATTCTTTCACATACCCTGTCCATCTCTCCATCTACCTGTGCATTCTTCCCTCTACATATATATGTATATACACACACACACACACATATATATATATATATATATCATAGGTATATCTATATATATATATCATAGGTATATCTATATATATATATCTTCATGGTATATATATATATATATCTTCATAGGTATGATATTTAGATATTGAATCTGATTCTGGTATCTCTCTCCTTCTCCTTCAGAAAGACAAGGATTAAGACAAGTTAGAGTGGATTGGGTGCTGTGGGTCATGCCTGTAATCCCAATACTTTGGGAGGATTGCTTAAGCCTGGGAGTTTGAGACCAGCAAGAGCAACAAAGAAAGACCTCATCTCTGCAAAAAATAAAAATATTTAGCCAAGTGTGGTGGAGCACACCTGTGGTCCCAGCTACTTGGGAGGCTGAGACAGGAGGATGGCTTGAATTCAGGAGGTTGAGGCTGCAGTGAGCTAGGATTGCACCACTGCACTCCAACCTGGGTGACAGAGCAAGACCTTGTTTCTAAAACAAAAGACAAATTAGACAAATTAGAGTGGTTCTAGAAACTGGGAGGGTAAGTGTGTACATTCCATCAAGGGCTATAGAAAATAGAGCATACAGGCCTGGATTTCATTTTAGGATTATTAATAGAATTCAGCTTCTTGAAGTAATAATCCTGTCTACAGCCATACCACCCTGAATGCCCCCGATCTCGTCTGAAGTAATAATCCTTTATTCTGTAGTCATTTTCATCCACAGTTCCTCCAAGGCAGGAGAACCTAGAAGGAATTTATTTGCTGAGCCACGGGAGGAGCAGCCCACTGAATTACTTATGAAATATAATGTCGCTCATTTCCTTTACCAAAAACAAAACAAAACAAAACAAAGATGAAGGAGGTGGAACAGAAGAAAAAGGAGGAGGAGGAATTGGAGAGGAAAACAATATCAAACATGGGTCAGTGTCCACGGCTGACATCAGGAGGCTCTTGGGAAAGAATGAGTGAGCACAGAATGAGGAAGGCTGGGCAGTAATTTATCCAGCATTATGTGTACTGACCTCTAATTTGTATATTATATAAAAGAAATAGAAGATGCAGCCCCTGCCTTCACTGAGCTGACAGTCCAATAGGGAGGATGCATGGAAAGGATCTACAATAGTAAATTAGATAATGCAAAAATGAGGCAAGCCTACTGTGTGATCTCATTAGATGCTAGTTTCCTTTCATCTGAAACAAAAAAGTGAATTAAACAATAGCAATGTGTGTCAAACTTACCTAATCTCTATTGCAACTTCTCTGTCCCTTACCAACCTCTACTTGGTTTTCTAGGATCCTATGCAACCGAGGTGGCCGTACAACACAGAAGTCTGCTGGTATTGCCTCTAACCCTTTGTAATGGGCTGAATAGTGTCCCCAAATAATTCATGTTCACCTATACCTGTGACATTATTTGGCAATAGGGTCTTTGTAAATGTAATCAAGTTAAAATGAGGTCCTACTGTACCGGGACAGGCCATGAATCCAATAGAACTGGTATCCTTATAAGAAGAGGGAAATTTGGAGATGGAGTCACACAGACATACAGGTTAGAAGGCCATTTGAAGCAAAGATTGGGGAGTTGCACCTACAAGCCGAGGAACACCAGGGATTGCTGGCCCTACAGAAGCTAGAAGGGGCAG
Source organism: Homo sapiens (assembly GCF_000001405.40). NCBI lineage: Eukaryota > Metazoa > Chordata > Mammalia > Primates > Hominidae > Homo > Homo sapiens. Next base: position 14,403,323 of record NC_000006.12, on the reverse strand, counting down.
GGAAGGACTCCCCCGTAGGGCCTTCAGAGAAAGCCTGGCCCTGCCCATGCCTTGATGTTAGGCTTCCAACCTCCAGAACTGTGAGAGAACAATCTCTGTTGTTTAAGCCACCCAGAGTGCGGTACTTTGTTAGGGGAGCTTTAGGAAACAAATTCAACCTCCTTCCTTTCTTCTTCATTGAATGAGGATGGGATGCTGAGAGGAACAGCAGACATCTTATGAGTTTGAGGGCAGATGCTGTACCTAAGTAAAGACAGTAGACCAGAAAGACAAGAAAAGCTGGCTTCTTTGTGGCAAGTTCCCTAGATTAGAGATAAGTCAATCTCTACATGTTTCAGTTCTTGCCACCGAGATTTTCTGTGACAGATGACACATTCCTGACTAATGCCCTATGGTCAAGTAGAAATAACTAGAGTTACCTGACTTCATGTCTCAGCCATGCTGTTATGTAGATGGGTGGCCCTGGACAAGTCATTAAAACTTCTTGGGCAAGGTGCGGTGGTTCACACCTGTAATCTCAGCACTTTGGGAGGCCGAGGCAGGTGGATCACGAGGTCAGGAGATCCAGACCATCCTGGCTAACATGGTGAAACCCCATCTCTACTAAAAATACAAAAAATTAGCCAGGCGTGGTGGCGGGTGCCTGTAGTTCCAGCTACTGGGGAGGCTGAGGCAGGAGAATGGCGTGAACCGGGGAGGCGGAGCTTGCAGTGAGCCAAGATCTCACCACTGCACTCCAGCCTGGGTGACAGAGCGAGACTCCGTCACAACAACAACAACAACAACAACAACTTCTGAACATTTTATTCCCCTTTAAAATGGAAACAATCATATCTACCCGAGTTTAAGTAAGATATTTTATGGGAAAGCCAGATGTCATCAATGGGGCAGGAGAAACTAATACACATTATCAGGGCTGTCAGATCCCAAAGGACCTGAATGCTGATATACCTGACATATAAAGATCATTTTCTCCATCTTTATCCTTACTGGAGGAGCTCCCAGTTTTTGTTTGTTTGTTTGTTTGTTTTTTAAGCAGGAAGCAGTTCTCAGCAGCCAGCCCTGGTAAAGGTACTTCATAAAATATAAAGGACCATACCAACACTGGGGGATATTCAAGTGCAAATTAAATAGGTCCATCCCACAACTTATATGAAGGGCCCAAAACGTTCTCATCCAACAAAAGAAAACAGAGGTGATTTTTTCTCAAGTTCATTCTGGGGTAGTTTCACCCCCATAAGCTTCCCAAACCATCCTTTTCTTGACCTGGTTATGTCATCCCCATCACAAGACCCTTCCTTTGGTTAGGAGCAAACAGAAGACATGAGCTAGTGGCCTGTGGAGTCAACTCTTCCTAGTCAGAAGGCAGCAGAATGACCAAGATGGAAACCTGTTCCACAGGTCCTTGCCCCCTGATGTAACTGAGTAGCAAACTTCAGAGTAGACCCCAAACACACACCACAGCTCCCTGGGGAGGCTGAGGGGACATCTGAACGTTCCCAGCAAGGCACATTGAACAGAGTACATCTTTTACCCACTTCCCACTTGGTAGGTGGGTCTGTCGTTGAGCGAGCCCAATTTTCCAAAAGGCTGGAGCCGCCCAGTGTTCAGCACCTCCAGACTCAGGGCTATGCTTGGCCTAGTGTCCCAGCTCCATTCATCTCTTGTCCCTCTCAGAATTCAATTCAGATCACCTTTTTGCAGACTGAATCTAAGCCCAGGCAGGCCCTGGTCTGTCCTTCCTTTTCCTCCCGCCTGTCCTCACCCTCTCACCACTTTAGAGCTAAGTGAATACAGTTTTCCAAATATAGTTTTGCAGCCGGTATGCTAGGCCTCCTAATGAGCCATGATAATTGCTTCTGCTATTTTCCAAAATGAAAATCAACCTCTGAAGAGCAGCTGGTTTGTTGTAATGTTCTCCTCCCTCCGGTTACATTCCACATTCCTGCAAGTCAGTCAAATCCCAGCCTTGACTGCCCCATCCATGAGCAGGGCCTGTGGGAGAGGGCAGGAGGAATGTGCTGATGGTGAGGAAACGGGCCTTGCCACTTGAATAGGCGAGCTATTGTGTCCCTTTTATATTTAAGGGACTAGGGAAAGAGAAAGAGTAGGGGGAAGATCTGGATTTGTTTTTGAATTCTAACATGTCTTATTATGTGTTGTGCTTATCAATGTATCTGAAAAGGTAACCAAGTTTTTAGATGACAGAGCAAAGATGGTTCCACTCTCCTTTTTTCAAGAATCGCTCCAAAACAATAAAGAGAATGAGAAACAATAGTGAAACCCATATTCTATAAGGGCAGGAGACATCTGTAATCTGGAACTGCAATGGATGAAGATGAGAAACCGATGGAGGAATGGGAGCCACTTATTAGATCTCTGGAAAGTCAAACCCAAGAGCCAGGAGGTGATACCATTGTGAATCAGGCTGACTTCCCACTGCGGAAAACAGGGAAGTCTGGAGAGTTGACAGATCCACATACTGCATTGATCAGAAGTGAACATGGAACTGAAAACAGCCCTGTAGTAGAAAGATAATAACACCAGGTACCATTTGTGGTGCACCTTTTCTTCCTCTTTACAAACATTCTCTCATGCAATCCTCATGACAACAGCAAAAGGTATTATTTCCCTCCTTTTATGGATGCAAAATCTAAGGCTCAGAGGGAAAAAGTCTTTTGTCCCAGATTGCAAAGAGAGAATAAGACACTGCATCAATGTATGTATCCTTAATTCCAAAGCCCTACCACTAGACCCCACCACCTCTCTGGGTAAAACCGAGCCATGAGTGCCCAGTGTACCCATGCTGAATAGGTGGCCAGGGTGACATATGCCTGGCAATGGTGATGGCAGGGACTGGGTAGGGCTCATGCTGCCTAGGCTCTTGCTTCACTCCTTGGCACAGCCATTTTGCCTAAGCTGCTCTATTGTTTTGAAAATGCTACAGAAACAAAGTCTAACCACCTCCCCCTTGTCATCTGCAACAGGATCTGATCTGGTGGGGCACTCTTGCTGGGATGGGGTACACCTAGTCCTAGAAGGTGGGTTCTTTCAGTTACTAAGAGTCCACCAAACACTCTGGCCTGTATCCTGGGAGGGAGGATGGATATCAAGGAAACAGCTCATCCCTTCTTACCCTCTCCTGTTTACTACTGCCCTGTTACCTGCCCTGCACCAACCAGAGTAGGCTGCAGATCCCACTGTTGCTTTTTCCCCCATTGGATCCACTGGTCACCCAAAGTGCAAAAGTCTGGGTGAACCCAGATCATGAAGAAACAAAGCGCACAGTGTCAAAACTGCAAAATAAAGTCTTCAGTGTCGATTCTCTAGTTTGTTCGTGGTGCAAAAATCTATCATCAGACACTTCATGAGAATCAGTATAAAAGTATTCACTCTGTTAGGCATTTTGGAGGTGAAACAGACCAAGGGCATGGTGTCTGCCCTCAAGAATCCATAATCAGTCAGAGAGCTGCAGCATCAGCCCCTGAAAAGAGAAGGAAAGCTATCAGGCTGTGTGTGGTTAAGAGCTTGTGGAGAGCTGTTCCGAGTTCTGAAGTTTTCCTCGTGGACTGTTTCTCTGGCTTTCCCATTAAATTGTGAATGCTTTGAAGGGAGGAGTTCTTGTTTTTGCTTTTCGTTTTTGTATTTCCAGTGCATGGCAGTGTGTGGGGCACATATCAGCTGCTGAGTGAACATTTGTCAAATGAATGAATTAATTAATCAGTCCATCAATCAATCAGTATGTCCAGAGGAAGGAGTTCTGCAGAGTGCAGAGAGCTGGAGTGGGTAGGGAATGCATTCATGAAAAGATGGGACCACCGCCAGGTAAGCAGGTATTATCCAACAACTCCGTAAAACCAATGGAAACTTCCAAAGGACAAGACTCCTAGCATGGAAATCAGACTTGTCGTAACAGATTTTGGTGAGACTGAAGGAGACAAGCAGGGGTGACACCAAGGCAAGCCCTTTCCAAAATGTAAGTACAAAGGCAGCCATGAATAAAAGAAATACCTAGAAACAGTTATCTACTTGGCTGTAAGTATTGCCACTGCATCTAAATTCCCATGTCGTGAAGACAGGGAAACTTGTATCATACATTTATCTTTACTCTAGAGAGTCAGTCTAATTATTATTGGCCTTAATTCATACCCCAGGCAGCTGCAACAGTCTTTGCCTGCCATCAAATAGTGTTTCAAAAGGTGTGAAATTCTTTTCTGGCATTGAATAACATCAGAGCCATGGATTCTATTTACTACTTACACTGAGATACCCAGCAAACAGGGCCAAAACAACAACAGCGACAAAAGAAAACAACTTTGAGAAACCAAATTCTGCACATGTTACTGACAGGTAAATTGAACTGCTGGTTATTCCCTCATTCAATATTTATGAGCATTCACCAAACAGGCACTGGCCATGCAGCAGACAGAGCATGGAGATTCAGTGGAGAATAAACACACAGGGTTTCTGCTCCATGGACTTCAGGTTCAGGTATCTGTACAGGCACTGCGATTTCACTAGCTTTTAGTACTTCTAAGACAGGGATCAGCAAAGTACATCCCACAGGTCAAATTCAGCTCATCCCCTGTTTTTTACAGTCTTTGCACTAAGAATGTTCTCTGTACTTTTAAATAGTTGAAGAGAGTCAAAAGGATAATATTTTGTGACATAGAATATTATATGAAATTTACGTTTGAGTGGCCATAATCCAAGTTTTACTGGAACACGGTGAAGCTTATTTGTTTATGTATCATCTACAATGGCCTTCATGCTACAACAGCGGAGTAATTGTGGTAGGTTCTATATGTGGGGCCCACAAAACTGAACTTTTAATTTCAAAAAAATAGTTTGCTCACCCTGTTTTAGGCTAAATTTTCTCAAAATACACTCCATAAAACATGACTTCTGAGGAACATTCAGAGTGTTAGATATTTTTAGAGTTTCATTGTCAATATATTTTAAAACAATGTGTTATAGAAAGTTTCAAAAGCTTCCTCCTTACTCAGTATCTCTCTAATTTTGAGCATGCCAAAAAACATGTAAGATAGTGCTATAGGTTGTGGGGTTTCCCAGACCTGCTTGTATATTTGTTTATTTTCAGGAAACATAGCACCACTCTTTGGGAAATGTTGACCTCGGTAGATTTCTTGGTCATAGGTTTTATTTGTATTATTTCTAAAACCAGTTGCCAAAAATCCACAGCAGTATCATGGAATAGGATAGTGTTCTACTTAGAACTGAATCTGAAGCCTCTTGCTCCCAAGCATAGTTTGATTGTTCTCAAGGTTTCCAGTTTGATTCCAGCCAAAGACTTAGGTATTTGGTATCTATCTATCTACCATACTTGAAGAGCTTCCATATGCACCCTAAAATGAAATTGTGTTAGAAGATTCCCATCCTCCATGTGTAGGGTATGCTAAGAATGGGCGGTTCCTGATCTATACGAGACTACACCATAGCCAGGCATCGCTTCAGCTCTGTGTGATGGAGGGCCCAGGATGAGCCCAGGTCGGGTCAGCATGCTGGGACACTCTAGAAAACAGAAGTTATATTGTAGAGGAAACTGAGAAGCCTCTTGGGAGAGCATTAGGGGAGAAACGAACCAGTGACAATGAATCTGACTCAGTAAAATGGTCATAATTATTCTCTGGGAGGGGCAGTCCTAAGAATAGTGTGGTCTCAGTCACTCAGATGTATCTTCTGGCCCAGTACCCGCTGGCCACTTGTTTGAGTCCTGTGAGGAGAAGGCAATTGAGGAAGGAGGTTGTAAATAAAAACTAAAAGAGCTCTTTCTTTAAACTCTTAAAATCTTGTGGGTTTAGTGACACTGTTTCTAAGAAGGATGCATTCTTCCCACCGCATTGCAAGAATTTGGTTTGGAAAGTACTCATGGCACTGGGGGTGCTGCTGCTCAGATAGCCAAGGTCGCATAGCAGCGCTGCCTGCTGGGGGCGCTGTTTGCAATGGAGCAGCCGCACCGCACCACCTGCTCAGCAGGGCAGTGAGGGCAGGAAACCGTCAATCAGCAAGGGGCGACCTGGCCAGGCTGATCACCCAGCGACTCCAAGCCGGAAGAGCAGCAGTTGAGACAGCAGTCAGCAGGAGCAGAGATTTTGGTATCCAGTGGGACAGACAGTGGGGCAAGGGGAGCACCAGGGGACAAGCAACAGTATCTGCCAAGCCCACACTTATTAATGAGCACAAGAGAAACCATCTACTGTCCCGGGGTTGGGGGGTGGTCCCAGAATCCTTGGGGGTAGTATGCATGGGGTTGCCATCCAGCCTTATGCTTGTGACTTTGTGACTCAGAGCTAGTGATATCTGATCTCATTCCTAGTCACAGATTGAAGGAGCTTGGGGAGATTTGGATTTCTTCTATATACTCATATAAACACAAATAAACTCACACGCTTGCATGTATATCCTATCCAAGATATGTGCTATGAATGTAAATGTTCACACATACAAAAGCTGTGCTTGTATATGAAATCATAAATTGTGAAAACGAGGTGGGGGTGGGTGGGAGTTGGGTGAGGGGTGTCTAAGCGGGTGAATCTTAGGGTCTCACCATTCCTGCTTCTTCTCTGCTTTGTGTGTTATGTGCTTCTACATAAGATTTCTTTTAAGAAAGATTTTCATGGCTAAAAAACAGTTTTGAAAACTCCCTCAATATAATCCAACCCTATCATTTTATAAATGAGGAAATGAGTACACAGACAGGTTCAATGATTTGCCTGTGGTCATGAAGACAAAAGTAATGAATTAAGGGTTCAAGTCCAGTGTTTTTTTGTTTCACTTTGTTTTCCTATTACAGCCTGCAGAGGAAGAAAGAATATACACTAAAACAAAAAGCCGAAATATATTACAGAACTCCGTCTGTTTCTCGGTTTTAATGGTTGGGGGTTTGAGAATTGGCTTATTAGATCTTTTAATTTTTCTAGCTATGATTTTATAGCAAAAGAAATATTAGCTATGGGGGCAATAATGTGGATTAAATTATCAGTTTTGTATCAAATGACCACATTTAATACAATTTAAAATTTAACTTTAAAGTTGAATTTAGACTGTACCAGACATATTGTACTAATCAGAAATGTATAACAAAATGAATCATTGTGCTTTAGAAAGGGACTTGAAAAACATGGACCTCGTTTTCTAAGCACAGTAGGAAACAAAAATGATGACAAGAAAGTTTGAGAAGAAATTCACAAGGAAATGTTGAGAGAGTAGAATTACTCACCCTGGAGAAGAGAAGGCAAAAAAGGTGAATTTTTTTTCCAGGAATCTAAAATGTCTCTTAACAGAGATGTGCTACATTTCTCATTTCCAAGGAAGACAGAGTAAGAATAGACCTTTACAAAGCACCATGAGAGATTTGTGTGGTAGAGTCAGTAGAACGGTGATATGGACCTTGGTGGTCCTCTAGATCATGCAGTTATAAGGACTAGAGATAGCGCTTGTTAAGTGCCCAGGACAGGGAGAAATGGTAGCTATTGTTATAAACTCAGAAGACTCACAGTCTCTGTTATTTCAGAAAACATCAAGCATCACCAGATGGTGGAGGCTGAAGGCAATTCCCCAGGGAGTCATAGTGGGTAGGGAGGAGAAGGCTGGGTGTCACTTTGGATAGGTGTATTGAACGGTCACTTAGATTGCACCCACACCTCAGGGCTGTTACCTAGGTTTGGGTAGAGTGCTCTTCTATGCCCTGCCCCTGCCTCTGCCTCTTCTGCTATCCAAATAGAGATTCCCAGCTGCCTGCTGTTCCCGTGCCAGAAGTCTATGGATGGGCAGTGGAAATAAGGCAGGCCATTTAAAAAAAAAAACTTTAGGTGCATCTGATGTCCTAATTTCTTAATATGCTGCAATAAACATCTGAAACAGTATAAAATTCTGGACACAGATGGTTATCACAAATACCACCCCCTAGGTCACCATTTTTCTTCATCATCAGAGAAGGAATCTGTAGCTGGTGGCTATGGGACACACGGCAGCTCGAAAGTGGAGGCGGGCACATCATCCCAGAGGGGGCTGTGATAGGGACATACTCACGTGAAAGGTGATGGAGATGGTGCACACAGGAATTCCTAGCCTACTTGTGTAGGGAAAACTTTCTCTAACCGTGATTTTCCTCTGCACTCACACCACTACAATCATCAGCACAGAAGACTTCCGTGACCAGATGCATGGGTTTTTTTCCCCCACAAACAAAGCAGCAGACACCAGCTGTGTGTCCTCTAATTCAGTTCTGACACCATCTACCAGGAGATGCTGTAAGATCCCACAGATTGAGGGCTCAGTCCCCAAAACTGCCCCCCAAAAAGGCGCAAGTGTGGCCCTCTCTGGTACTTCTGATGGACTGGCTTCAGGTTGGGGTTCCCATGACCCCCTTTTTGGATTTGATTAATTTGCTGGAGTGGCTCAAAGGCCCTAGAAACACTATTACATCTACCGGTCCATTATAGAAGAGAGAGCAAAAGAAATGGATGAGGAGATGCATAGGGCAAGGCATGGGAGAAGGGGGGCGGAGCTTCCATGCCCTCCCTGGGACGCCACCCTCCAGGAACCTTCCCGTGTTCAGCTCTCCAGAAGTTCCCCGAAACCTGTCCTCTTGGATTTTTCTGGAAGCTTCATGAAGTCACCATTCCTTTCCCTAGGATATAAGGTGAGACCCTCTCATGGAAGGGTCTTAAGACCCACAGTCAGAAAGGTGGGGGAACATAGCATGAAAGGAGGGCAGGAGGTTAGAGGGCTGCCCCTGAGGCCTAACCCCACCCAACATTACAACAAAAGACTGGAACAAGGGCTATGGGAGTTACGAGCCAGGAACTGTGGATGAAAAGCAATATGTGTCCTAACACGACACTAACGCTTAGTACCTCGGCAGTGTACACAACAGGAGAACAGGACACTATCAACTGTTCACTTGTCGGTCTTCCAAGCTCTGTTTTCCTCCAAGTTTAGATGCAAAGTTCCAGTTCTGCCCTATATTCCAATTCTGCAAAGAATCAAGGATCAAAAGAGCTGCACAGAATCTTTTTTGAGCAGACAGAAAGGGGAAGAGACTCTGGGTTATTTTAAAGTATGCCCCTGGCTGACAGACAAAATGGACTCCCTGTGGCTAACTGAGGTGCTCAGGATTCAAACAGAACCAGGCAGCCATAGCTGGGTGAGGGAGTGGTCATGTACTCTGTGAGCTCACAAAGATGTAAAAGTGTCACCGGACCTCCTTTCTACAATCAAGCCAAGCCAATTTCTGTTGTCAGTGCCAAGATAAACTGCAATCAGAACTATGCCCCAACACACACACACACACACACACGCACACACACACACGCCATTTGAAAGAAACATCTGACAAGAGACTTCTGGGTTTGGGCTTGGAAACCGCCCAGTCAGGGCTCCACTGTTTGGATCAATCAGAACTGAACAAGTTTAAATCTGCCATTTGCATGAATAAGCCAGATCAAGAACCACGGCAAGAACTTTCCCTATTTAAGCCAGACCCTCCCTTTGTTCCTTGGTGAGCACACTTTCACTTATGATGAAGGCTGTGCCTCCCCAGTCTGCAGATCGTTTTTTATAGAAAATAAAACTCTCCCTTTTTCGTCCATAGAGCTCATGGTCTTCTAATAACAGTTATTACTGATTTTTTTTTTTCTGTCACACATGAAAAGCCATAGTACAATGCCTGGTCCCTGGTGAGGAAAATGATCGATAAATAATTCATTAATATTAGCTGGTAGTACACATAGACTCAAGCTGTCACATCTCCCCAGCGATACCAGACATCAGTATTATCATTACTGAAATGCTTTCCACCGACACAGATATTCTCTGGTCTTCCTTCTTTCTTCCTCTCCTCCTCTTTCAACTTCCCTCCTTCCTTCCTCCTTTTTAACTACTTGCCACCTTCAAGGTTATTCAAGGATCAAGATGTTAGAGGAGGGTCAGGTTGTCATAGCGTGTCTGTCTAATTCTCTCCAGGAGTGGTCACAAATAGAGCCTTCCAAATGTGAGGGAGGACAATGGTAACATGAATTGACTGAGTACATATCAAGTCTTACACTGTATACTTCACATGCACTAACTCTCCTACTCTTCACAACAAGCATGCAAGGTATGTCTACAATTATAATGGAGTTGCACACATTTGGCTTATTCAACCTAGACAAAATCAACTGTGCATACTTGACCAAGAGAGAGGGATGGAGGAAGAGGACCTAGAGGATGAATTTAATATAATTTGCACAAGTGATTTTGCTCCCAATTCCACTCAGTGAACTTAGACCCAAAGAATGCACAAGATGTGAGTTCCCTCAAACTATCTCTGTTCCCGGGATGCTTCCCATGGTGTGAACATGTCACAACACCAGAATGATTCTGATGATTCAATTTACAATCTAATTTTTTTTCATCCAAAATGGCCTGTAAACTGAGGCCAAGAATTTGATCTGTTTCACTGTGGAAGAAAAGCTGGCCGTGTATACCCACTGGGAGATGATTTAGGAGAGAAACTTTATAAACATTTTGAAGAATTATCAGGAATAAATTTTGTCTGGGCATGATAACTCAGGCCTGTAATCCCAGCACTTTGGAGGGTCAAGGAGGGCAGATTGCTTGAGCTCAGGAGTTCAAGACCAGCCTGGCCAGCATGGCAAAACCCCATCTCCACAAAAAATATAAAAATTAGCCAGGTGTGGTGGCTCACGCATGTAGTCCCAGCTACTTGGGAGGTTAAGGTGGGAGGATTGCTTAAGCCCAGGAGACGGAGGTTGCAGTGAGCCAAGATCATGCCACTGCACTGCAGCCTAGGTGATAGAACAAGACCTTGTCTCAAAAAGAAAAAAAAAAAAAGAATAAATTTTGACACATGATATATCTTGCCTCATGTTTAGTTTTGTCTCATAGATGACACTTCATTTTATCTCCATTTTACAGGTGGGAAAATAGAGGCTGAGAGAAATTGAGTAACTTGCCTCAAGCCATATATTCGGCACCGAGATGTGATCTGAGCCAGGTGAGTCTGGCTCCAAAGCACATGCTCCTTCTGCTCAAGTCCAGTTCAGCTCTCTCTTTAAGTCCAGTTTCAGACGCTCACCTTCCTCTTGGCCATCTCCTGGCTGTCTGCATCATCTTGCTTTCCTTTCTCTTCCAAGGCCTCTGCTCAGGGCTATCTTCACAGTCATCAGGGGCCAGGATGGACATTGAGCCAGCTCATACTGGGCCAGCCATACTGGGCCTTCATCTGTTGCAGGCTGTCATCTGTCCTAATGGCCACACTGCCTTTCCAGTTGTTGGGATATGTATCCTAGTGCCCAAGCATTATTCCTTGTCACCCTGATACAATAGTAAAGAGAGATTTATATAAAACAAAAGTAGCATTCTAAGTAATTTTAGAATGGCTTTGCCACTTAGGTCATGGATGGTCACTGACATCTTCATTTTCCAGAGCCAACAACTGAGGTCCAAACAGCGTGCCTTGCGCAAGGCCACACAAGAGGTAAGTTGGGACCTGAACACACCTGATTCTATATCATTTCATGCTCATGTTTGTGCCCTGCCCAGGAATCCCCAAACCCACCTGCTTCAGTCTTTGCTGAGAATTTACAGTGACAATTTATGGGACTCTCTTTAGGAGAATGACAAGTTGCAGGTGAACTCTTGGAACAAATGTGGATTGTCTTGTCTTCATTTGGAATGTATGACAAACTCATAGGGCCATGTCAGAATGCAGAGTGACTGGGGGCTTCAGGACCCCGTGGGGATGTGGGGGGCATTGTGTGTCTGCCTTGTTTTGATCCATTCTGCTGCTCCAGATAATGGCATTGGCTGTACCAGTGGCCCAGATCCTTCACCTGCAGAAGAGCTTCCCAGAGAGGAGCAAGCCTTCCTGCCGTCACCTCTGGTGTCATCCTATAGGACATTAAAACCAACTCAAGATTGTGTTGAAAACTGTTTTCCTTTTGAGGATGCTAATAAGAACAAGATCATATCAACGGGTATGGATCATGGCAGGATTTTCCTTCAGCTGAGTCTTTTAATGAGCCGTTTCATAATGAGGGCTGAATCTACACACAGTATCTACATGCTAGCCAAGGTTTAAAGACTTTTATAATATTTTCCTCCATTCTCACCCCCTTCGAAGCCCTGGCTTTAATTCTTTTAAACAGTAACATTCATTGGCTGTTAAGTAAAACAGGAGAGAACACAATAAATTTATGATATTTTGAGAAGCTATGCCAGTTCTCAAGCATTCAGAGAAACAAGCTTGGCTTTTATGAGGTAATTATGATTTAGTGTTTTCTCTCGCCCTGTTGAGTCTGTGGGCTGCCTGTAAAATGGATCTGGAATGAATGTCAAAGTCAGGATTTACAGTCAAACATTTTCAACATATAAAGTACAGGAGAAGTTTATTGTTTTGTTGGGGTTTTTTTTTTTCTAAGCAATATTTCCTTCTGCATTTGTGTGCTGTTAGGTTTTGTAGGATTTCTCCCCTCCCATTTGAAATGGTATCTATAAATTACTTTTCCTGATAAGGCTGCAGTATCATCAAAAAGTGATGGTCTTTGCAAGCAATCGTGACAAAGCATGTCAATTTAAATCATTTCTTTCTCTTCCTCTCACTCTTTTTTCCTCTTACCTTCAACAGGAAACTATCATTTCAATGTTTCCACCCTTTCAGAAATGAGCAGGAATTGACTAAGCTTGATGAGTTTGAGGTATAAGAGATCTTCATGCTCCTTCCTTCTACCATCTTTTTCCCCTGTTCTCTCTTTGAAATAAAAACTGTGTTTGGATGTTACCTTCAGGGAGAGCAGACTCTGGGATCATCAGGCTCCAAGGCTTTCCGCCCTTACTCTCCCGTTAACATGCTGGGATTGACACCACCTTTGCAAAAATTATGACGGTGAGAAAAATCTGACATAGGAAAATTATGTCAGTTAAAGAGATCTGACCTGACCAACTCCATCTTGCTCATAACCTCCAAGCTGCCCTTGTTCATTTTGGGGCATAGGCTGAACTAACTTTGGGAAGAATTTCATTTATAGCTTAACTTTGAAACAACTATGATAACAGCCCTTTCCCTGAAATGAACCCCCTCTTTGCTTGGGGAACAGACCATTTTTGTAAAACCAACAAATTTGCCACAAGATTAGAAATTATGGCTCAGGAGTCATGCAGCCAGAGGCCACAAGATTCCTAACCTCCCCAGGCACTCTTATGAATAACATCACTATTGTAAAACCTAAGATTGGTGTTCAAGATATTTTTCAGACCCTGCATTCTGATGGACCAGCTGGCACCACCCAGACCAGTAATCTGGGTCAACCTGTTCTGCGATCCTATCCAGGAACAGAAGATAGCAGGAAGAACCTGCTTTGACCCTCTGTGATTTCATCTCTGACCCAACCAATCAGCACTCCCCATTCCCTCGCCCCCTGCCTGCCAAACTATCTTTAAAAAACACTAGCCTTGGCTGGGTGCTGTGGCTCATGGCTGTAATCCCAGCACTTTGGGAGGCCAAGGCAGGTGGATCACCTGAAGTTGGGAGTTCGAGACCAGGCTTGCCAACATGGTGAAACACCATCTCTACTAAAAATACAAAAATTAGCTGTGTGTGGTGGCAGGCGCCTGTAATCCCAACTATTTGGGAGTCTGAGGCAGGAGAATCGCTTGAACCCGGGAGGCGGAGGTTGCAGTGAGCCAAGATCGTGCCACTGCACTCCAGCCTGGGCAACAGGAGTGAAATTCCATCCCAAAAAAACCAAACCAAAACAAAACAAACAAAACCCTAGCCTCTGAATTTTCAGGGAGGTTGATTTGAGTAATAATAAAACTCCAGTCTCCCAGTTAGCCAGCTCTACCTGTCTTAAACTCTTTCTCTATTAGAATTCCCCAGTCCTGATAAATAAGCTTAATCTGGGCAGCGGGTAAAATGAACCCATCAGGCAGTTACAGGATCTTAGGCAGTTGTTACTGAACTGAACTTGGGTCCACTTACCCAACATGAAAAAAAAAAAAAGCCAAACACTGACACTGAAGTTTGCAGCAAAAGAAACTGAGGCATTTATTGCAGAGTTCCAAGCAAGGAAGATTGGGCAGCTCACACTTAAGATCCAAACTCCCCAGTGGTTTACAAGCAAGAGTTTTCAAGGGCAGGGGTACATTTCAGGAAAGCAGAAGTTACAGGCAAAATAGTAAATCAATACGTAGAGGTTAAACATTGGTTTGGCCCAAAAAGGCAGGATATCTTGAAGACAGGGCTTATAGGTCATACGTGGATTCAGAGATTCTTTGATTTGCAATTGGTGAAGGGAGCAAGGCTTCGTCTAAAAACTTAGGGTCGGTAGGAAGCAATGTTAATTAAGGGTTTGGCCTGAGGGTGCGACTCTCTTGAAGCCCGTCAGGAAGAAATTTAGAACAACAAACACTGGTCAGTCCTCACTGCCCCATTATCTGAGCTCTATGTGACAGCAGTTGGCATTTTCCACCTGATGGGGGTCTGGGTATCTGAAAAGCGACTCAATAACATATGCTAAGATATGATCATTAGAGTCACAAATCACCTTGTGACTCTAACTTGCTTGAGACACTATTGCTTAAATTATTACTATCTTCTTGCTTATTAGGATGTTCATTAACTTCTCAAGGCTAGGTAGGTGCCTGGAATTTTCCTTGAAAAAAACTCAAGATTTTTCCTTTATTTCTCTGGAGGCCTCTAAGAGGGGTCCCTGCTCCATCTCGCAGTCACCTTGCCTCTAGGAACCCCCACCCCCGTTTCTTAATTTGTCAGATAAGGCAGTGAGTGGTTTCAAAGTCCTCTTCCAACTCTAAAATGTTAAGATTACCTACATATGGCCCAATAGTATTACATTAGGTCAACTTGGTATTTGCATGTTTGTCTTCAGAGGTAACAGAGATAGAGGGGAGGGAATGATGTGACAAAGACTCTGATCTTTTTTTTTTTCTCAGACAGAGTCTCACTGTCACCAAGGCTGGAGTGCAGTGTCGCGACCTTGGCTCACTGCGAGCTCCGCCTCACAGGTTCATGCCATTCTCCTGCCTCAGCCTCCCGAGTAGCTGGGACTACAGGCGCCCACCACCTCGCCCTGCTAATTTTTTGTATTTTTAGTAGAGACAGGGTTTCACCGTGTTAGCCAGGATGGTCTCGATCTCCTGACCTCATGATCCACCTGCCTCGGCCTCCAAAAGTGCTGGGATTACAGGCGTAAACCACTGTGCTCGGCCAAAGACTCTGATCTTAACCAAACTTTAGTCAGGCTTCTCTAAGCCCTCTAGACCTTGACATTCAATATCTGTCCTCGTTGGGCTTGCATCACCCAGTTTTAGCAAAAGCAAAACTCTTGTCAGTTTAGAGAGAATTCTTCACTCTCAATGTCAGATCACCCTCTATAGCTGACCAAATTCCTCATCTTCCATTATCCCCCAGTGATATCTGATCACCTTGGCCTGTCTTCAGCAAGAATCCTATTAGGTCAGTTTAGCAAAACTCCCCCTACCTTGGATGTCTCTTCTTCATGTTTTCCATCCACTCCCCATCCCACTCCTATGCTCCTTGGCTATAAATAAATCCCCATTTTTCAGAGTTGAGCCCAGTCTCTCTCCCATACTGCAAGACCCCTTTACAGTAGTTCCCTTCTTGAATGTGGGATATGATGAGGTTTCTCTTCAAATAATCTGATCAATCTTTTATTCTTTAATTCATAATCCCCCCCTACATTTTTCTCCTTTTTTCCTTCTTGCCTTTGTTAAATGCCCAGGCATGCCACAGTATCAAGCATTATCAGTACCAGCTCACATTCCTTTCCTTATTAAAAAAAAAACAACTAACTTTCTGGCTCATTACAGACACCCCTTCCCCTTCCCCTTCCCCTCCACTTTCTTTTACGTGCCCACCCTATCTAGAAAATATCAAATGTTTAGCCAACCGAAATTAGTTTAGATTGTATGACCCGACCCCGGCCAATGGGGAAAGGGTACAGGGGCAAGAATTGTATCAAAAATAAAGGCTCTTGTGCCTCTTTGTTCAGGTGTGCTCTCATGACAACTGGCCAAGGAGGCACCCCTCTGCGCAAAAATAAAATTGCTTTACTAAAAATCCTTTGTTCAAGTGTTCAATTTCCTTAGAATTTTAAGCGTTATTCCTAACATTGAATAAAGTCTTCCTTACTGCCTTTAACAAGTCTCTGAATAATTTTCTTTCATTTAGCAGATGTGAGAAGTTGTGAAAGAAAAAGGCCTATTCACCATGCTTCTTTATGTCCACCAGGAACCCCTCTGTGGCCTCCTTATCAGTGCAGCCCACCCTTTCCAGGGTAAGGGGACCACACTGACATGCCCTGGCGTTTTGAGGGGTGGAGAGGAGAGAAGGGATAGATGTCCATTCAAGATTGTCAGCTTTTTGATATAGTCAGACCACAGTTTCCAATTGAAAAGTGGTTTTTGCTTCGTTTTCTTCTGGTTTCTATCTCACTTTACAGTTCTTGGTGGTTGTGCCCAGCAAGTTGAAAGGAGGAAGTTGCCCCTTTTTGTCTTACTCTCCGATGTCTTCAGGGAAGAAACCACGTAGCAGCTCAGACCAGAGACTAGAAATTGTCTCTGAGCATCTTATTAGATTACATATTAAATGTGAAGGTGTACAAGACATGCCACCCCAGAATAGACTGCTTTGGTACATTGATTATTTTAAGCTGAAGGCGCTTGAAAACAGCAAATCCAAGGAAACACTTTCTCTGTACTTCCCTTATCGGCCTAAAGACAGAACCTCCAAAAGGAACTCAATTGTTCCCCACCACCATCCTGGTGAGTTCCATCAACAAGGAAGATTAACTCTTATCACAGGAGAGGAGATTAGAAGTCCACATTGCCCCACTGTGGTTTGAATGTGTCCAGGCCAAAATCCAGGTGTTGCCAATGCAATGGTATGAAGAGTGTGGGGCCTTTGGGAGGTGAGTGGGCCATGAGGGCTCCTCCCTGGTGAATTAGTGCCCTTATAAAAAGTCTGGATGGAAGGAGTTTGACTCTCTTGCCTTTCCCTCTTCTGCCATGTGAGGAGGCAGCAAGAAGGCTCTCTCCAAACACCAGATGCCAGCCCTTGAACTTAGACTCTTCAGCGTCCACAGCTGTCAGAAATAAATTTCTGTTCTCTATAAATTACCCTACCTGTGGTAGTTTTTTAGCAGCACGAAAAGGGGGAGGATATACCCCCAGATGAACTTTGTCACCGACTATCATATCTCCCATTTCTTCTTCTTCTTTTTTTTTTTTTGAGACGGAGTCTTGCTCTGTCGCCCAGGCTGGAAGTGCAGTGGTGTGATCTCCGCTCACTGCAAGCTCCGCCTCCCGGGTTCACGTCATTCTCCTGCCTCAGCCTCCCGAGTAGCTGGGACCACATCCCATTTATTCTTCTAAGGGCCCATGCATCTTCCTAAAAATCATTTCCTCTCCCCAACGTCACCCACACCACCACTCTACACACCTTCCCCTATGAGGATGGCATATAAACTCCCAAATCTCACTGTCTTTTTAGGTAGTCGCTTTTTTCCTGTGATGTTTCTGTGTATACCTGTCTTCCTGTTAATCTGTCTGTCGTCAATTTATTTCCTAGGCCTAGCTGTCAAACCTAGGAGGGTAGAGGGAAAGCCTCTCCCATCCTTACATATGCAATATACTATGTATTATATATAGCACCATTGACAGTGTAATGCATCTGTCATCATATATTCTATATAGCTCTATAACACAGTTTATTATAGCTACAATTGATTTAGTATTAACTATGTACCAGGCTTGCTATAATGTATTTTTCTTACGTTTTCTCATTTAGTTTAGATAATGTAGTTTATTTAAATGGCAATTCCAAATAACATACAATGTTAATTTCTTTCAAAGATTTATTCTGTCTTCAGCATAAAGAAATTAAGACACATAGAAAATGGCCCAACAATAAGAATGTCCTCAAAAAATAGATGAGAATAATGACTTAGGGATTATTACAAATCCTAACCCTTCCTGTCCCCTACCACCTCCTCCCATTCACCCTAACCAAACACACACACATCCTTAAAGGTCTGGTATAAAATAATTCAGGGATCCCATTATATTCTAAAACCTTCTCCGCTGGGATAATTGGCTTTGGAACCTCCCTTTTCCCCACGACTCTCTCATATGCCAATATCTCCAACACATAGATAATTTATGAAAACAGAGTAGACACTTTTTAATAATTAAGTGATAGATAATAGGAGCTTTTAAAATAAGCTGTAAGAGCTTGGAAAAGGAATGGGGGTTAGTCATCTGCATATTTATTTGGAATGACCCAAAAGGCTATTCATTTTATACCCCATTATCTGCAACTGGAGACCCCAAGAAGTTTGCTTTCTCTGCTAGCTGGGGTATTTTCCAGCAGGCATTTGGGAGCCGCAGTCAGTGGGAGGGAGAACTGGAGAACCAGATGCCTGCCCCAATCTAAATCACCCGTATCACCCACTCTATTCTCTCCAAATTACAGTGCAAACAATAACACAGGTAAAATTAGCCAAGATACTAATTATGTAGTGCAAATGTGTAAAGGATATAGAATGATAAATGGCAAACGCAGAACATGTTGTGTCATATCTTGTAATCTCTCTGGCTACCGAGCCCAGGAACAAAGGGAGAATTGTGCTCTGTTTGTCTAACATGCTCCATATCACAAATTGGAAATCCTTCCTAATTAAGATATTGTTAAATGTCCTTTGTTAGCAGATTTTAACAATGTTAATTAGGAGGTTAGAGTGATCATTGTTCATCTAGCAAACAATTAGGGTGATTTGCACTGTAGCTTTTGAGAAACTTCTCAGCAAATCAGGAGTTTCCTCTCCACAGAGAGGGGAGCAGACCAGAGAAGGAAGAGGACAGGCAGGAGAATGGGCAATGTTTTGCCTAACATTTTTAGCTTACGGGCCAGGGTAAAGCATGAGGAATTGTTAGACATGGGCCTAGTAGCCATTGAGATATCAGTGTTGACCTTGACCTGGTGGCATCACTGTGTTTGCAGATGCGCTATTTATCCCCAGTTCAGGAAAGCCTGGTCAGAGAAAGTGTATGAAACAGCAGGAACCCCTCTCAGGAGCCTTCCAAGCTACACCTCCCCACCTAGCAAAAAACAAAGGGAAAATTTTGAGTCCCTTCAAGGGAAATTCCAGGCACCTAGCTAACCCTACAACCAGCAATTAAGGAAGTAAATGAATAACCTGCTAAGCAGGAAGATAATAGTAACTTAAACAATAGCCACCAAGTAAGCCAGAGTCACAAGATGTTTGCTTCCCTATAGAAACTAAAAGATATTATCTTGACGTATCCTTGAGCTATTTTTCAGAAACAGGAGCCCCACCAGATAGACAATGTTGACCACCGTCACATAGACCTCAGATAAGGGGGCACTGAGGACTGAACTCTAACTGATGTTCTTTGTTCTAAATTTCCTCCTGAGGTGCCTGGAGAAAGTCACACCCTCAGGCCAAAACTAAACATAGCTTTCTGCTAACCCCAAGTTTTTAGACAAAGCTTTGCTTCCTTAACCAATTGCAAATCAAAGAATCTCTGAATCCACCTCTGACCTGTAAGCCTCTGCTTCAAGATGTCCCCCTACGAAGGGCCAAACCAATGGGTAACTTCCTTGTTTTGGTTTACAATTCCTTGTATTGGCTGCATGCCTTCCTTGTCTTGGTTACGACTGCAACTATACATTTAATGCCTTTAAATGTCCATTTCAAAGTACATTTCAGGAAAGCAGAAGTTGCAATTGTAAAAACCCTTGCTTGTCATCCGTCTGGGAGTTTGAGTCCTAAGTGTTAGCTGCCCAGTTCTCCTTGCTTGGCACCCTGAAATACATGCCTCTCTTTCACTGCAAATACCAGTGGTGTTCGTTTTTGGCTTTTGGCTTTTTCTGTTCACTGAGTGGGTGACCCAAAGTTTGGTTCAGTAACACGCAGTTTTCAGGTTTCTTAATCGTCTGGTCAAGTGAGGGTATCTTCCTAAGGCAACAAAAACAATGCCACGCCAGCCATATTTCAACATTTTCTGAAGTTAGAATTTTATTATTTTTAGCAGCAGATGAGCCTGGGCTCCTTCTGCTATAGTCTCCAATCCCTGCCACTTCTATGCCCCCAACATACATCTGCATGATAAAAAACACTTGACAGTCTTTTTTCCTTTTCTTTCTTTCCTTTCCCGCTCCCCACGGCCTGATACTTGTAGAGGGATGTAAGGAGGGAGAGAAGGAAGGAAGGAGGAAGGAAGGAAGGAAGGAAGGAAGGAAGGAAGGAAGGAAGGAGGAAGGAAGGAAGGAAAAAGGAAAGGAAGAAGAGGAAGGAAGGAAGGAAGGAAGGAAGGAAGGAAGGAAGGAAGACAGGACTTTGCATTTTGCTACTTTGAAACTGGAAATACAAGAGCAAAGTATATTTTGAGAGGAGGACAGAACTGGCCATTTGAAAACTACCAGAGGACTTTAGTTGCTTTGAGAATCTCATTCTCTCTTGGCAAAGGTGCCCATGCAGAAGGAGGGCAGGCAACCCAGTGAGAAGAGGGATGGGATTGGAAATCGAATGCAAAGACTCTGAGTTCTATTCTGGGTTTCACCAATGATTTCTCATACAAACTCAGGAAGTCACTTAACTGAAAGTCACACCTGCTTGGAAATGGCACTAAGTTTCTAACCACACACACCCAACACTTGGGGAAAAAAAATCCTAATAGCTCTCGGCAGCTGCTGGGTGCCGGGCACTGTGCTAGGCGCTTTACATAAATTTAACCACAGCCAGCACTTAGCTTCAACACTGAGGGTCCTGAGGCCAATTTAAGTGGCTCTCAAGTCTCTTTTATCCTTGCGGGGCCCCATCTGCTGGGGGAATAAAAAGCCCTTTTATGTTCTACAACCTCACAGACCACCCACCCCAGCAGTTTGTGCTTTGTCACAAAAAACCCTCCATCTAATTAACAGGGCACAATTTTAATGAAATATTGAAGTAAATTATTCATGCCTGTCAGTAATCAAATATAGATGGGTCATCTTGTAAACTGTTACAACATCTGTCATTTGCTTTAAAGTACTGTAGCGTAGATAATGTGATGTCACGTACATATCAGTTACCTAAAGCCACAACCTAAGTGACAGTAATAGGAATTTACCTTGTAGGAATCTACCTTCAGCCGTGTTCTTATCGAGCAAGTTCAGAAATGGGTATTCATTGGGTATTCACTGGGGAAGCCGGTGGCATGTTCATCAGCATAATGGCTATTGTAAATGGGCTCTCACTGAGGAAATTTGATCTGAGTCATATGAAGTTCAGTATGAAGATGAACCCAGTTTTCTGTTTCTTTGCACTGGCATAAATATGTATTCAGCTGTGCCTCGGTGTTCCTGGCCTGCCCTATTTTTTCTCCTCAGTGCATCCACTGCCTAGTACAGAACAGATTTTCAACACACATCCCTTGAATGAAAGAGAAAAGCTACTCTGTCACAACTGGGGAAAAGTTAAGTAGGGTAGAAAACCCACCGACCTTTCTCAAGACCTGATGGAAAACCTTGGCAGGTGAATATTACCCCGTCCAAATTTCCAGACAGTGCTCTCAGGATTTCCTGTGTTGCCAGTAAACCTTTTACTTCCATGAAGAACCTTTGGTCGTCTTAAAGCGGGTCAACTTTTCCAGCTGTCTTTATCCACGGGCAGCACTGACGGAGACCATAAACTCATCCAAATTTAGGCACACAATAAACTGGAAGAGTGGAGAGGGTATTCAGGCTATGAAATTCTGATGGCTCATTACCATGACAAAGGTTGTAACAACTTGGACAGGAAGCCGAACAAAAGGCAGCCACCGTTCTATTTACAATTCTAGGATTGTATTTGTAATCTCTCTTTGCAGGAGAAAGAGACCGCCAGTTAAAAAAAAGACTGAAACACAATAGGAAGAGAGAGTCCACAATGCTGAGAGACACCAAAGGGATCAGAGTATGAGCACACACACTATGTGTGTATTTCTTCTCTGTGTATGTACACAGTCGATGAGAGTAAATTATTGTCATGGGTAAGGGTTTAACATTATTGACCCATGCGATGGCTTTTAAAAAATATATGCCACATGGCTGGAATGCCAATTTGAAGTGGAGAAGCATTTAGGAAAATGAATAGGCTGAGCTGGAGTATTTTCATGGAACAGAGCAAGCCTCTTTAATTTGTTCACTGCAGAGAGCCTGAGAGTAAGCCAACATTGTAACCTGCTAAGTAAAGCACCATGAACATGATTATTAATGCAGAGAAGGGAGGCTCAAGAGTTATTGTGCTGTGCAGGTTTTGGTTTCAGGAAGGCAATAATTGTTCCAAAGTCACTGACAATTTTGGTTAACAAGTGATACAAATGGATCGGGTCCGTTGGCCGTTCTCTGGGGGCCCTCCCACACCCATAGCAGCTAAACTCTGCAAATTCTGATTCATTACCTTTGACTCCCCTTTTGTTACCTATCTAGCCGGTGTCGATAGTTGGGAAGTGTGTGGTGGCAGGGACCATTCAAAAGGGCTCCCCTGCCTCACAGTCCCTGGAGCTCGAGGAGCAAAGACATTGCTTTTGTTCAGATGGAAAAGAATGAAACCCACGTTCTAGCCTATTGTCCCGCTGCAAGCCAGGCTTTTTAATTGGCATGTTGGAGTCAGTAAAGAGGTGTGCAGTGACAGCTCAGAAGTGAGGCATCATGGGGCAGCAGTGACTTCACCTCCAGTTTAATCCTGGTTGGAATTTTTGTGTGCTGTTACTGTTCCTGGCTCCTAGGAAATGTGTGTGGTTGCTGTTACTGGAGAGGCAGATAGGGCTGCACTTAGATTACAGGGTTGCACTTAATACGTTGCATTAATCCTGTGCTCTGATGCATCGATCCTTTCTTTCCCATCCACCTCTTCGGCCCCTGATAAACATGAAGAAAGTTGGTGCCTAACCACACTTCTCATTCTGCTTCCTCTGGTTTCCGTCTTGTTAGGTGCACATGAATAAAAATGTCACTTTGTCAATCCCCTTTATGCTTGCAAAGTGCCCCTCATGTGAACACCTGAGGATGAGACAGACAATTAACATTGAGCAATTCAATGCAACAAACATTTATTGAACCTCTGACTGTAATTGATCGAAGGTCTTGAGTCATTAACAAAATTGCTTTTGTGACTTTCATGACAAAGTCAAGGTGATTCTTCCAGTTAGCCATGTGAGTGTGTGTTTATGTCTGCTGGTGGTGTCTAGGACGTTTGGTGCTGATGAGTATATCTAGTGTAGGAGACCAGAATATGCCACCCCAAAATATGCCTTTTTAGCATAAGGATTATTTTGAGCTGATTATTTCGAGAAGCTGCAGACACAGGACTGAAAATGGAGTATAAGTTACCCTTTTGCAGAGGAAATTTGCATCTATAAAGGAAATCTCCATTTGTAATCTCCATCCCTCTCTGTACCAGGAAGGGAAGAATGACTAAATCGACTCATCAATGGAGAAGGCACCCACATAAATTTGCATAACAACCTTGCTCTTGTTTACCCTACTTTTCCTAGATAACGCCCTATTAGTGGGCTTTCCCATGTCCTTCTTTGTTTCACTTGAAGAATATATTTAAGCAAACTACTCAGAGTCCTGTGGTCCATGTCTACTCAGGGGGGCATCAGCCTACTGTCTATTAACTTGCATTAAGACTGGCTCTAGGGTTTCTCTGATCTGATTTGATGGAAGGTCACAGTATGGGTGATTGTGGAGAGTATATTCCTACTATAAAAGTATTCAATTTATGAATTCTGGAACTGGAAAATCTGGTTATCCTCACCTAGCCTTCATTTCACCCAGCCTGCCAATCCTCAAATACTAAGCATCATTACTTTTTTTATACACATACATGTATTCTTAAGTCATCTGTCTCTTAAATCACCTTACTCTTAGATAATGCAGTATCAAATTTATAGTAGAATGGTGCATCAATGGAGGGAAATATATTTAATTTTTAAAAAATGCTAAAATGAGAATTTTCTTAAAAGCCAAAGGGTAGGATTAAAACAGTTTTTCTTTTTCTTAGTACTTCAGACTTGTATTTTTGTGAAGAATTTTTCTTGCAAGCTTAATTCTGAAAATAGAGGATTCAGAGGTATTTATTATTATATGGAAGTAACATAAGCTGATAAACACATGCTATTAAAACAATAGTACTTGTATTAATTGGTGTATTTTCCTAAAGAGCAGCTTGTCAAGATGTATCAAAAGCTTCTTGAAAATGTGCACACTTGTTGACCTAGTAATCCCCTTTCTGGAGTTTATCAGAGAGAAATAAATAGATGAATGAACAAAGACTATTTAGACAAATGACCAAAGACATTTATTGTAGACTTGTGTATAATGGGGATAAATTTGGAATGTTTTAAATGTCTAGTCATAAAGGATTTGTTAGGTAAATGATGGTATATTTACACAATAGAATATATGATGACAATTAAGAATGCTGTTGTAGTAGAAGAATATATATTATCTTGAAATAATTCACCCAGTGTGTGATCAAGTACAAAAAGCAAGTTCTACAATATTAGGTAGAGTAGGTGAAGGGTGGTGCCAGATATGCCACCCCAAAATATGCCTCTTTGGCATATGGATTATTTTAAGCTAGAGGCCATTGAGAATCAGCAGACACAGGAAAAACTCTAGAAACAGGTCAAAAGTTTTCCTTTTAAAATTGTAAAGGATGTCTCCCTTACCCGTACCAGAAAGAGGAGGACTTTTAACAACTCTCATTAATGGAGAAGGCACTGACTTAATTCTGCATAACAAACTTCAATAAACAATCCTTGTTTACCATACATTTCCTAGGTCTCTCCCTCCCTTTTCCTTGTTTTAGCCTAAGACAGTATATAAGCCCTCTAACCATGCCTTTGGTTTACTCATCTTTGGGTGCTCCCATACGTAAGCATAATATGCATGTTAATAAGTCTGTTTGTTTTTCTCTTGCTAGTCTGTCTTTTGCCAGTCTAACTTATAGGGCCTCATCTGAAGAGCTTAACATGGGTGAAGGAAGAGCTTTTTTCTCCCCTATGTAGGACCCCATTGTAAGAAAATAATGGGAATATTGCATGTAAAAAAAATAACAGCAATTACTTTAGAATTGTGGTATTATAATTAAATTGTTTTTTTAATCAATGTAGCATAAATTTTTGGCTATAATCATGTATTCCTTGTGTAATTCTTTGAAAATAATTAAAACCATACCAAAAATGCTTAGATTTTTCTGTCTTTCTTAATTTTAATGTGAAGTGATACCTTCCACCACCATTTGGTAAAACACTAAAACTGGAGTTCATGAGAGACAGCGGTTAATTTTATGTGTCATCTTGTCTAGGCTATGGTGCCTAGTTGTTTGGCAAACACTTGTCTAGATGCTGCTGTGAAGATATTTTTTCAGACGTGATTAACTTCAAATCAGACACTTTGAGTAAAGCAGGTTATCTACTCCAGGAGACAGAAAAAAATCTTTGTTCTCTACCCTTCTTAGGTTCTCCAGCTGAGGCTCTATAAGACTGACAAAAGACAGATTAGCAAGGGGAAAACAAACAGATGTTTATTAACCTGTGCATCGCACATACACACGGAAGCACTCAGGGATGAGGAACTCAAAGGGGTGGTTAGAGCCTGGGCTTGTATACCATCTTAGGCAAAAACAAAGGAAAAGGGGGTTAGGGCTTCAGGGGAAAGGGGATAGTTATGGGAAGGTGACCAGGAACAGTATGATGAGCAAGTGTTGTTTATTAAGGCTTGTTACGCAGATTTAAATCAGTGCCTTCACCATTAATGACCATTGTTAAGAGTCTTCCTCTTCCTGGTACAGAAGGGGATGCCTTTCACAAAAGGAAATTTCCTTTACAAAAGGAAAACGTGTGACCTGTTTTTAGAGTTTTTTTCTGTGTCTGCTGATTCTCAGTGGCCTTTAGCCCAAAATAATCCATATGCCAAAGAGGCATATTCTGGGATGACATATGTCAGCACTCTTCACCTCATAACCTGGGTAGCCTTCATCCAATCAGTTGAAGGTCTTGATAGGAAAGACTGGGGCACGCTGAAGAGGAAGGAATTCTGCCTCCAGACTGCCTTTGGACTTTGGGACTCAAGACTAACATATCAATTCCTGCTGGAATTTCCCGACTGCCTGGCTGTCCTGTAGATTTCAGACTTGCCGGTTCCCATAGTCATGGGAGCCAATTTCTTAAGATAAACCTCTTCTCTCTCTCTCTCTCTCTCTCTCTCTCACACACACACACACACACACACACACACACACACACACACACACATATTGATCAGTTCTTTTTTCCTGACAACTTTGACCAATACACCAGGCTAATGCAAAGTCATTTGCGTAAGGAATTCTGATGCCCTGGAAACAGAACATTGGTGACTGAGTTATCACAGAAGTTGTATTGATTGGAATTGGGCAGCAACGCTGCCTGCTTCATCTCAAGTGACTTCCATTTGAGGAGAGATTGGCTGCTCAGTTGTGCTTGCTGGTTTGGCTGGTGCACTGAATTAATGGGGTCAAATAAGAGCTGAACTTGACTGGCAGATGCCAATTGGCTTTCAACAATAAAGACCTCAGCGCCAGCAAGGCCTGTGGTCCCTTCCCTGGCTGTGTGGAGCAACAGACATCCTTGATGTGCTTGCTAGTCGTGGCTGCCACATCAGGAGAAGGTCTCAAAGCTTACTTAAGCTATACCCTCATTAAAGTTTAAAGCTGTGTGATCCAGAAACACAGTCAGCCCGGTAAGGATTTACTTGAAAAATAGACCGTGAAGCCTTCTGAGGGCAGGGATGTTGTTTAACATTCCATTACTTCGTCAGCATCCAGCACACTCCCCAGCACCTACTAGGACTTCAGTTAACTAAAGAAATGCTAAATAAATAGATGAAAGAAAGAATGAATGGGTGCTCTGCAGATTTAAGGAAAGTCAACACAGGCTTGGAAAGGAAAATCCAACTTCAGAGGCTGTCAGGTAATGTCCTGCAAGGATACAGGTATGGCCACTTTAATTGGCACTCACATTTCATTCTCAGCCATGTGCAGTGAACTGGGTGGGTGACGTTGTCACATTATCATTGTATCACACATCTCACCTCAGATGGTTCCCAGTCATTCTCTCTATAAACCACAAGTAAAGCAACCAAGGAAAAAATCTGCAGTGAAATAGCAGAAGTTTCTACAATGTAGTTTCATTTTGTTAAAAAGTCAGGCAGAGGAAGCTATAAAAGTTTGGGAGAAAATTGGAGCAGATGCAAGGAATACTGTTTTTGTGTGTGTTCTTAAGTAAGGTAATTGAAGAGATGGCAATTGGCAAAGGGGAAATACACATTTGTGATGGATTCTCCAATGAGCAAAAAGCAAAAATGAGGCAAACATCAGTGTGTGCTTGTCTGTTCCTTCGCTTTCCTGCCTGGTATATTCCCATGCCACTGTTTGCAAAAAGCCCTTGGTAGGTGATCTATTAAACAAAACATTCAAATCTGACATTTCCAGAAAGGCAATTTCCTTTATACTTCTCCTAGCTGTGACCCCATATTTCTCCTAGCCTTCGACCTCCCTTTCATTTCTGTTTTTACACCATATTTCTTCAGCTTCTTTTCCTACCACTCAAGAGTTATAAGTTCCCAAGGTGTTATCAATCATGCTCAGATATTCTAAGGTAAAAATGAACACATAGTCTGAAAAGTGTAAATGAAGCCATGCCACGGTGTGGTTGGCTCCTTTCAAGCAGAGGGCAAGATGGAGTTAGAAGGTGAAGAGATTTATTGAAGGTAACATCATGAAGGATAAAAGTAAGAGGGAGCAGGGGTGATCAGGGAAAGCCTTCAGACTATCATGCAGATCTGATGTCTATGAAAGAAGAGGGATGGGCCACCGCGGTGGCTCATGCCTGTAATTCCAGCACTTTGGGAGGCTGAGGCAGGCGGACCACCTGAGGTCAGGAGTTCGAGACCAGCCTGACCAACATGGAGAAACACCGTCTCTACTAAAAATACAAAATTAGCCAGGCGTGGTGGCAGGTGCCTGTAATTCCAGCTTCTTGGGAGGCTGAGGCAGAAGAATCACTTGAATCCAGGAGGTGGAGGTTGCGGTGAGCCGAAATGGCACCAATGCACTATAACCTGGGCAACAAGAGTGAAACTCTGACCACCCCCCCCACCAAAAAAAAAAAAAAGATATGGATTAGTGAGCGTTCTCCAGAGAAACAGAACTAATTAGAGATGGTTTGTTTATTTTACGGAATTAGCTCATGCAATTGTGGAGGGGTGGCAAGTCTGAAACTTGCAGGACAGGCAGGCTGGAAACTCAGGTAAGAGTCAATGCTACAATCTCAAAGCAGATTTTCTTCTTCTTTGGCAACCCTCAGTTTTGCTCTTAAGGTTTTCAACTGACTAGATGAGGTCCACCCACATTATTAAGGGTCATCTCCTTTACTTTAAGTCAAGTTTTTACAGTAGGTTGTCAGGCAGACGTGAGCAGGGTAGGAGAGCTCCGGTGATCCCACCAGGGACATTGGGCAACCATCAGATGATGGTCAGGCAGTTGTTAAACTGATTCTCTGAAATGGTAATTGGTCACACTCAGCATCAGGGAAAAGTAGTCTCCCAATAGAAAGAAAATACCTGAAGCTGGTGATCAGCAGCTTCCCCATAAGATCTCAGGAGTTGGGCAAGTGGGCTCAAGCATGCACCCTAAGAGGCAAAATGGTGGGGTTTACCTGGTATATTATTTTCTTCGAAGAACACTCAACTGCTAGGGGAAAAACACCTCAAGCAAGCATGCACGCAACTTCAATAAACACACTGTGCATGCGGCCCCTCCCAAGGGCTGGCAGGCCACTGTGCATGCAGACAGCCCACCCCAAGGGAAGAATCAGAGGAGAAGGGATGCAACCCCCTGGAAGCCTGCCAGTGTAGAAGACCCCATGTCAAAGGTCAAACAGTGGACTTGATCTCTCGAGTCACCCACTTGGCCCTCTTTCAAGTGTACTTTACTCCCTTTCATTCCTGCTCTGATACTTTTTAATAAACTTTCACTGCTGCTCTAAAACTTATGTCGGTCTCTCACTCTGCCTTTATGCCCCTCCGTCCAATTCTTTCTTCTGAGGAGGCAAGAATTGAGGTTGCTCCGGCCCCATACAGATTCGCCACTGCTAACAAACTGACCATAAATGCTAACCACATCTATAAACACATTTATAGATACACTTAGATTAGTGTTTCATTATATGACTGTGCATTGTCACCTAGCCAGGTTACCATGAAAACTAACGATCATAAGGGGGAAAGGGAGGAAGGTAGGGTAGGAAAAATCTTCACCTACAGGGCAGCTCTGAGAGACTGTCAACCAGTCTAATGAGGAACTCTGGAGCAGAGTCCCACATCAGGTAAATATTGGCCAGGCCATGAAGCACTCACCATGCTCAGCCATTGCCTGGGGGCTACCCAGGAAGATCTGGGGGAAGAGCATGGCCTCAGTTCAAATGCTGTAGCAGATCTTGAAGGCACTGCAGCTGGAGGTGGTCCACCCACCATGCCCCTGACCAGAGACTAGAAAGAGATCTGGGACATAGAGTCACTGTAGATTCCCATCTTTTATTTTCTTCTCCTACCTTATTCTGGTGCCTAATTTCCCCTTTTCATGTTGGCCATGAAACATTTACATTCAGGACCTTCTCTCCCTTTTTCCCTTCATTCTGTTCCAATATTTCCTCCAGTTGTCCTCTCCCACTCTCTTCCTCATTTTTTCTCCAATTATCTCCCAGTTTCCCTTTGTCCTATATAAAGTCTGCTGTCCTACCTCCTTTTCCTGAACTTCCAGAGGAATAGGGTTTGCAGGAGCCCCAGACCTGCTGGTGTGAGCTGGGGGAGGCTTCTCAGCATCCCTTCTGAGCCGTGGTGATGAGGGCAGGCTGGCACCAATCCAAATGCATGCTTAAATAATGGGCACGCCAGTGCCAGAAAATTAAAACACAGCATGGAATTGCTGAATTCACAATTTTATTGTCAGCGATTGTCTGGTGGCTCTCAATATTGAGAAAATCTTCACAGCTTCTTCCATTTTCCATGACTTGGTTAATGTGCAGATAATTCTAGTGGTAAACTTTTTATTTCCCCTAAAGCTTCCCCTCCTTTCTTTTTCAACCAGGCAAATAAAATCACAACTGTAACAAAGCATGCTTCATATTTCATCTCATCGTTCACATCTCGTAGATAATGATATTCAATATCTGGAAGGTGCTTGGAAATCACCTTGGAAATCACCTTACTCACACTTTATAGATAAGGAAATCATGGCTAGAGGTTGTCACGTGACTTGTTCAAGGTCACATAAGGAAGTTGTGGGGAAAGCAAAGTTCCTGACCGCCACCTCAGTGAGTACTAATGTCCCCCTTCTGAGGGGTTCAGTGAAGAGATAGATAGGACAGATGCCATTATTTTCCATTGACACATAAGGAAACTGAGTCTCAAAGCTTCCCAAGGAGGAAAAGCCATAACCATTTGACCCATTTATTACTGTTTTCAACATTAATAAGAAAAGATGCTGTCTTTTGCTAAGCATAAGAATAGTTAGCTTCTTCATTTTAATTAAAAATGAAGTCAAATCCTGTTTTTGGTGACAACTTATACACAAAAATATAGTCCTTGTTGGAAAAATATTTATCATTTTCCTAATCCTTTACAATTTTCAAAGTCATCCCTTTTTTGTTACTTCAGTTGCTCAGCACTTGACCCAGGTGGCAGGTAGGGTCTTGTATTGAGAGCCCCATTTTTATGATTGAGGAAACCAAACCTCAGCAAGTAAATGATTTGCCCAAATCTCATAATAAGTGAAGAAAGCAGGACTTGAAGGCTGGATTTTTTGACAGCCAGTGCTCTTTTTTCTCCTGACTCATTAACTGGCCTGTGGATGCTGGAGATCTCTAATGGAATAGTCTTATTTGCAAACATGGAGTGACATTAACATCTTGCTTCAATTTAGCCACTTCTTTCTACACTTAATGCCATTATGCTGGTTCCTGACTCTATCATTTCTATATGGGTCAGTGCAACAGCCTCCTAACCAGCCTCCTTGCCTCTGCCCTCGCTGTCCTCCAATCCATGTTCCATGCTGCCATAGCCTGCAGCCAGAGTGACTTTTCTAAAGCAATCACCCCTGCACTCCCAAATACGTGTATATTTATAAATTATGTGCACGTACTCCTGCGACTATATTAAGTTTATGGGTAATAAATCTATTAGAAAATTTTAAAGGTTACATTTTAAACAATGTAGTTAAAGGATCTAATAGTTTCTTCTTATTACCTTACTTTAGAGAAAATTGTTCGGAAGCACAAATATGATTCTTCCCTTGCTAAAAATCAACACTGTCCTAAGATTAAAATGCAAACTGAATGTGGTTTATAAAGCTCTTCAAGATGCAACCCTATTTCTCAATTATAATTTCTTGTGATTCTCACTCTCAATTCCACTTTCCAATTTCTCGCTGTTCATCTCTCTGCAGCTTTTATCCCCCTGCTGTTGACTCTGTCTGAAAAACACTTCTCTTTCCTCTGCTTCCTTCTTCTTCTTCTTCCTCTTTTTGTCCAGTCAATACCTACTGGTCCCTCAGGTCTCAAATTAAGCCTAACTTCCCATGGAATGCCTCTGAGACAAGATCAGGTGCATCTCAGCACCCTTAGCAATACCTATCACGTTGAAAAGTCACTTTCATTTTCTCCTTACTTGTCTTCATTTCCCAGTGGACCATCAGCTCCTTGAGGGTAAAGCATGAGGTTTGTTGAGTGTTGCTCTCTAGTGCTGTCAAGTGCCAAGTATGTCAACAACTACAGGTATTTGTTAAATGAATCTGCAAATATCTGCTGGCAGCCCAAGAGTTTCTATTGAGTGGAAAATAGAGACTGTAACCAGCCCATCCATCATCCAGGCCTCATGGGGCATCATATTTTTGACACCCACGTTCTCTTTTACACTGTCTGCCAGGGAATCTTTCCCTTGTCTGGGAATAAAATATAGGACATTCCCCACAACTTTCTGTTCAGTCTTAGCAATAGAAAAGTCAAACAGTTCTTTGAAGTCTCAGTCATGTCTCAATTAATTTAGAAATGAATGATGTCCAGCCCAGTACATCAAGCAAAACTTCAATACTCAGGAAGGTACAGTGTCCCTATTTTCACCAGTCACACTGCCTTTCTTTGGGGAAGAGGATATGGTTGGCTTTTTTGCTTTCCTGGCTAATCTTGTGAGGGCCCTGGAGGTTTGCTGAAAATCACTAACATGAGGTAGATTGATTAATATGAGAAAAAGCATCCAAATTTATTTAATGTGTATATACAGGAGGCTTCAGAATGAAGACCCAACCCCACACTGAGGTTCAGAAGCTAATATACCATCCTGACAAAGCAGGCTATGGGAGGGAGAGAAGAAGGATTCTGCTGAGGGGTAATAAAAGATTACTAGGGAGAAGGAATGGGATAAGAGAGGAATAAGAGATTAACTTGTAAATAGCTCTCTGACAGTGAAAGTCTTGCTCTGGTATGGTTATATTTTTGGCCTTGGAAGCAGAAGAGAAAAACAATTGTTCTCCTTGGTGAGCATGGATCTTAGGCGGATAAAGGAACTTCAACTTC
Organism: Homo sapiens; assembly: GCF_000001405.40. Taxonomy (NCBI): domain Eukaryota; kingdom Metazoa; phylum Chordata; class Mammalia; order Primates; family Hominidae; genus Homo; species Homo sapiens. The sequence continues at coordinate 14,370,599 of NC_000006.12, read as the reverse complement.
TTTGGAAGAAACAGTGGGAGAGGGAAACTGAGCCTTCTTCAGTTCAATATGTCAAAGCACCATTATTTTGGAGTTAGTTTTTGAGCCCCAACAATCTTCTACTCCATCCACCAGCTGGAGTGCAGTGGCGTCATCTCAGCTCACTGCAACCTCTGCCTCCCAGGTTCAAGCGATTCTCCTGCCTCAGCTTCCCAAGTAGCTGGGACTACAGGCGTGTGTCACCACTCCCAACTAATATTTGCATTTTTAGTAGAGACGGGGTTTCATTATGTTGGCCAGGCTGGTCTCAAACTCCTGACCTCAAGTACTCAAGTAATCCATGCACCTCGGCCTTCCAAAGTGCTGGGATTACAGGCGTGAGCCACCGCGTCTGGCCTCACCAGCTACTTTCTAACCTGACGGGTAAAATGGTTGGGTAGAAAGGGATGGAAAGGAGGGGATAGGGTTCAGGGCATGCCACCCCAAAATATGCCTCTTTGATATAAAGACTATTCTGAGCTGTCATTTTGAGAAACTGCAGACCAAGGAGAAGCTCCAAGAAGTAACCCCTTTATGAGAAACATTTACACCTCTACAGGAAATCTCTATTATCAGCGTGTCTCCCTCTCTGCACCAGAAAGAGAAGGAGGCCTAAATGAAACCCTTAATCTACGGAGAAGGCATCAACTTGAATTTGCATAACAAACCTTCCCTTCGTTTAAGGTGCCAGTCACAGCCACTTCAACCTGTGTCCCCACACCCCTTTTTCCTTGTTTCAGAGAATGATGGCATTTAAGCCTGAAGTCTAAGATAACTCTTTGAGATCTACTCTAGAGATTTACTCATTTTTTTCTGGGCTTTCTCCCATCTATACAAGAGGTATAGATGTTATTAAACTTCTGTTTGTCCTCTTGTTAACCTATCTTTTGTTACTGGGAGTCGCAGCTAAGAACCATGGAGGATAGAAAGAAAATGATTTTTCCTCCACTAGAGGGGACAGTAAGGTTCTTAATTGACTGATGCTGCCATAAGATGACACCACAGCCTCCAGACCTTATAAATGCTTCAAGTTGACTTTGTCTTGTGGGCACTTTCATGTATTCTCTCTTCTCACCTCTTCAATGCTTTCAGGATGTCTTCTAAAACAGCCCAACGCCAATATTGCCAAAATGGGCTGGTCCCTAGGAGTCATGCAATGTTGACCTGCCTTTGGGGGAGTGTAATGACACAACCCTCTCTCTGGGCACCACTGGTCACTAAAGCTGTGCTAGGGGGAATCTGTCACAGATGCTTCATTACCTCCCAGTTACAGAAGCTGTGTCCAGCTCTCTGAGTGGTACATTGAAACCTCTCTCCCTGGGTACAAAGGGAGGCTGAGATGGAGCAGGGACCCCACTTAGGGGCCTCCAGGCCCCCTCAAGCATGGAAATAAAGGAAAACCTTGAGTTCCTTCAAGGCAGATTCTAGGCACCTAGCTAGCCCTAAGAAGGAAATGACAACCTGATAAGCAAGAAGGTAATGATAGCTTAAAACAGTAACCAAGAAAGAGTCACAAGATGTTTGTTCCATATAGAAACTAAACGTAACATCTTAACATACATTCCTGATTTGCCTTTCAGAAACTTAGACACCCACCAAATGTATCCACTGGTACATAGACCTCAGACCAACAGGAACCGATGACTGAACTCGGACTGCTGTTCTTTGTACTAAATTTCTTCCTGAGGGTCCACAGGCCAGACCTTAATATTCCTTTCTGCTGACCCCAAGGTTTTAGACACTTTCACTTCCTTAATCAATCACAAATCAGAGAACTTTGAAACCACCTTTGACCTGTAAATCCTCACTTCCAGATATCTTACCTTTTTAGTTCAAGCCAACATATAACCTCCATGTGTTGATTTATGATTTTACTGGTAGCTTCTGCTTCCCTGAAATGTAGCCCTGCCTTTCAAAAGCCTTGCTTGTCAGCCATCAGGATGGCTGAGTCTTAACTGTGAGCTGCTCGATTCTTCTTCCTTCGTGCCCCACAAATAAATGCCCTCCTTTCTCCCACTGCAAAACCTTCGTGTGGACGTTTGGCTTTACTGTGCTGGGTGAACAGACCCCCGTTCAAAGCTCACACATCAAGTTAGAGGCTCAGTTAGTGAAAGTTGGTCCAAGAGGGAGGCCACTAAAGTAAGATTACAGCTTTGATGCTCTAGCTGCTCATGGGGAATAGACACAATGAGTCCCGGACTTGCCCAGGTGCTGAGGACACAAAGACAAAGCCCAAGAGTCAGGGCCCCAGGTGCTCACCACCCAGGAGTTGGTATACATAGAGTTAGTTTCCTTCCTACCTGGGAGTTATGTGATTCAGTGGAAAGAAGGAGTTTATAACAGGAAAGCCTAAGTCTGAATTCCGTTTACTGATTGCAGAAAACGTTGGGTTAAAAAGCTAGGAAAGGTGAATGGAGGCCCTGCCCACTGTGGCTTTTCTAGAACTGGCCTTTCCAAGTTGCAGATAATTCCTCTTAAATTTGCAGGTTGAAGATGGAGATGAGCAAGCTGCGAGTCTGGGTGATCTGCATCTTGTGGATCAAAGCTACAGCTTTTGCTTATTTAAAAGGTAGAATTTTCCAAGTGACCAGGCTGACTTTTAAAAATTCCATTAATAAATTTTAAAAATACACTGGTATCTTGAATTGACTGATTTGTCCCCCTAAGCCTGGCTTAGATTATTCCATTCCTCAAAGTGTGTTGAAAGATAGTCATTTTATGTTATGTGGAACCCCTCTAAGGTAACTCTAACAAGATGAGACTTCCTGTAGCCTATTAGTGAAGAAAAAAAAATTGTTTTTAGGGGCACTGCTTAATCGACAGTTTTTAAAGACCCAAATGAAGTCATAAAATGCATGCATGTCTCTAAAAGTAAGTTCATAAGAATATCATCAAAAGACCTTCCTGAAATACAGCCTAGAAATGGGAAAATAGAGGCATTTTCCCCTTGAAAGCAGCACAGGGTCCTTTGTTTCTCAATTTAACGGAATTCTAACACACAAAAAAGTACAATGATTATTTAAATAACAATACCAGGTCTGCTGCAAAAATTCACAAAAACAAGGAAATCAACACTTAAGCTGAAAACTCAGCACAACTATGCTCCCCTCAGCTCAGATAATTGAGCCAACAAGTTAAAAGGAAAGGCCCGAGGTAGGGCAAAAATGTGTCACTGTGTGTTTCTAGACACAAGTGTAAAATTCCTGCCTTTGATAGCAATACAAATTTCTCCTCCTTAAGAAACTATTTTAGAGCTCAAAACACAATTCCTTTGTTTTCTTTGAGGGAAGAGGGTGTGGGTATGTGTGTGTGTGTGTTTCAAACTAAATGGCATTTGAGGGCTTAAGTGTTTGAGTCCACGAAAAGTGAATAGGTCATATGGTCTATTGTAGGATAAGTAATTATAAACTTATTAAAAATACATGTTAATTTTACTCACTGACACTCCATGATAACGGCTTCCTCAGGATCTAATCCATTCTGCTGATTACACTTCGCTATTTCTGGTGCAGGAACTTCTTGTCCTGAACAAATGGCTTGAGCAAAGTGCAAGTTGACCCAATCCCACGCCAAAAGATGAAATCACCACCTTTCAGCAATGCAGACAATTTAAGATTATTTTCCCTGTTGCCCTCTAAAGTCTTAGTTTAAGCCAGAGGCAGATAAGCAGAAAAAGAGATTTCTGCTCCCTTCAACCCCTCAATCTGATAAACAAGCAAAAATCCTTGATAATTTCACAGGAGGTAAGACAGAAATTTCCCTGGGCTACTCCCTTAGAGAATATAGTACTCACTTTGGTTAACAAGTAAATCCTTGATACTTGAAAATGGATTTACAAATTTCATCCGAATCTGGTTTGGGGAAACGCCTTGACACCTCCTCCAACTGCTAATGGCCAAGGTACTTATCAATGCTTCTTAAACTTTGATGCTATTATGAGTCACCTGGGGATCTTGTACAATGCAGATTCTATTTCTTTTTTTATTTAGAGGTGGGGTCTCGCTATGTTGCCCAGGCTGGTCTCAAAGTCCTGGGCTGAAGCGATCTTCCCACCTTGGCCTCCCAAAGTGCTGGGATTACAGGCCTGGGTCACTGCACCAGGCTAAGTAAACTGCAGATACTAAATCAGTAGGCCTAGGATGGGACCTGAGATTCTGCATTTCTAGCAAGCTCCATGGGTGATATCGATGCTGCTGGTCCAGGGACCATCCTTTGAGTCACAAAGACTTTGCTGACCGACAAAATATTTTAGCAGTGAAGCATGCATAGTCAAGCTTGTGAATGGGGCAAATGGCTATTAATATATTGATTACTATTTGAATGTAGATTATGATCCAGGCCTTAATACAGATTATTAAATTTTATTTTCTTAGAGTTTCTTTATCCATGAAGTCTCTTTACAGTTGGTTATTCTAATAGAAGATCCTGACCATCCATGGGATACCATTCTTGAATACAATTGCAGAATAATTTGGAGATCAGTAAATCACAAAAACTTTTTTGCCTTTGAGTATACACAATTCAAACCAAAGCCATGTTTCTTTTTTAAATGAAAATATATTTACTATTTCTGATAATTGCAAATAATATGTGCTCCTTGTAAAAAAGCAAACAGGAAATAATCTGATGTGTATTCTTCCAAAGGCAATTTAAATTTGTATTTCAGCAAATTATTACACTTCATGGATTACTGAATGCAGTCATGTACCATGTAATCATGTTTTAGTCAACAACAAACCACATATAGGACGATGATCCCATAAGATTAAAATACCATATCCTTACTTCACCTTTCCATGTTTATATCACAAATACCATTGTGTCACAATTGCCTATGATATTCGGTACAGTAACATGCCATATAGGTTTGTAGCCTAGGAGCAACAGGCTGTATCATATAGCCTAGGTGTGTAGTAGGCTAGGTTTGTGTAAGCACATTCTATGATGTTCCCACAAGGATGCATTTCTCAGAATGCAGCCCCACCATTAAGCAATGCATGACTGTAGTTGAATCAAATGTGAAATCCTGGAATGCCAAAGCTAATAGTAGAAACCCTGGAATGCTAATAATAACCATAGTTCCCTTGCATTGAGTGCCTACTTTCATGAGCATTCTGCTAGGTGCTCTGGCAGTATTATGCTCTTTACATATTGTAATTGATGGGGTTCAGGACATGCTACCCAAAAATATGGCACCTTGGCATTTGAGGAAACTGCAGAAGCAAGGAGGTCTCTCTGACCTTCTCCCACCCTTCTCTTTTGAAGCAGATCATAAAAGAATACCCTGAGCTTCCTCTAAAGCAGGTCTTAAGACCCTGCTCATCCCAGAGGTGCCCTCCCTATATCTAGAGGAAAGGAATGTCCTTAACTCTGAAGACACAAGGACACAGAGAAGAATCTGAACAAACAGGCCTTGCTAAGTTCCCTCCTGTTTATTACATCAGACCCCCTTTGTCCAGTCACAGTTCTGCACAACTGTCCATCCAACACCAAACCTAAGCATAAAAATATACATATTTTTCTGTTTTTTTTTCTGGGGGGGAATCTTCATTTCTAAAGCCTCCCATGTTACATAAAACGTAAATACATTTGTATAATTGTTTTCTTGCTACTCTTTTATTGTGGGTGTCTTAGCCATGAATCTTGCAATAGGTGAGAGGACATATTACTTTTTCTCCCCTCGATAATGGTCACAGCTTCTGGATTCAAGCAAAAGACAATACCTATTAATTTTGAGCAGAAAAGGAATTTGTTGGAAAAGTGTCAGTAATTCATAGAATTGACCCAAGGGCTAGAAAACCAAGCTGTTAGCATGAGTCAACATGAAGAAGAGCTGGGGAGTGGGGATAATGTGTGGATTTTGTCACAGGTTCACTCCGCTTAGGATCTGCTTCCAGCCTCACCACCATCAGAACCTGGATCCCTGACGCAGCTGTGTGGGTGAAAAAGTAATAAGTCTTCCTTATCCATTCCAAGGTTTATGGCTGACACCCCTATTACAAAAGACAGACTAAATGCATAACACATTTATCAAGTTTTACGTGACATACGAACCCTCGGAAATGAAGGCCTAAAGACACAGGGAGAACTATTTTGATGCTAAGTCTGATGAAAGAAGTGTGTGGAGAAACTCAACTGGACAAGAAGGGTGTGATCTAATGACATAAAACTGAGTGGGAATCCCAGCAAAACTATTTGTTCATATTCTTCTCAATCTCTCCGTGTAACATTCCTTTCCTCCAGGTATAGGGCAGGACACCTGTCATATGAGGATCTTATGACCTATTTTTGGAGCGGTAGGTCAGAGAGTGACCTTTCTGTGTTTTATGGCTTGCTTTTGAGGAGAGAGAGGGGCAGAAGACAGGAAGGTGGGAGAAGGTCAGAGAGACCTCCTTGCTTCTGAGGCCTTCCTCTCTCCTTCAGCTCAAAAATAATCAGCACCCCAAGGTGCCATACTTTGGGGTACAGCATTCTGAGCCCCGACACAGACACCACAGGTAATTTTGCAGCTGTCCCCTGGAAGGGAGAACCTGGAAGAAGAAATATGAAAGGTTCAGCTTCCATGGTGGCCAGAATCCTACATCCCCATCAGGACTGACACAATACAGGAATCCAAAACAACATCCACCACTTCTCATTATCTCGTTTAATTCTCACACCAAACCAGAAAGGCTGCTATAATTGTTATTTTAAAGAAGATGTTACTGGACCTCCTGGAGGTGAGGTGACTTGCCCAGGAAGCCAAGGGCCAGCCATTTAACCCAGCACTGTCTCACCCCAGAGCCTGTACTTCCCCACTTCCTAGCTCTTGGTGCCACTCTTCGCCCTGCCATGGAGAGAGTTGCGCACCATTCATCTGTGTGTTTTTTGGATCATAATCTTATTTGTTTTCTAAGTAGGGGGGCAGGAGAAAAAACCCACACAAAAATAAAGGAATTGATTTTTTTCCCTCCTTCTGATAACCTTCACTTGGAGAATTTAGGTAATGGTATTAGTCTTTCAGGCTCATCTTCAAGGGAAATCCCCTTCCCACCTCCCCAACCCGGGGGCTCCTTCTGCAGCTGGTGTAAATCTTAGATGTTCACCACCAGTTTCACCTTATGGAGTGCATTCAGTCCTGAATACCTAAAAACGACCCCTTTGCTAATGATGGGGTTCAGGACGTGTCAACCCAAAATATGACAATAAGCACCAGAATATGCCACCCCCAAAAATGTCCTTTTGGCATTAGGATTATTTTGAGCTCATTATTTTGAGAAATGGTAGCCACAGGAGAGGCTCTGGAAACAGCAGAAGTGACCCTTTTATAAGATAAATTTGGCCAAGTGTAGTGGCTCACGCCTGTCATCCCAGCACTTTGGGAGACCAAGGCGGGAGGATTGCTTGCCTCCAGAAGTTCAAGACAAGCCTGGGCAGCATAGCAAAACCCCATCCCTACAAAAGTTTTTTTTTTTTTTTAAGTTTTGCCAGTAATGTGGCACATGCCTATAGTCTCATCTATTCAGGAGACTGAGATGGGAGGATCACTTGAGCCCAGGAGGCAGAGGTCAAGGTTTCAGTGAGCTATGATCACACCACTGCACTCAGCCTGGGTGACAGTGAGACCCGGTCTCAAAAAAAAAAAAAAAAAAAAGAAAAAAGAGAAATTCACGTGTAAGAGAAATCTCCATTTGTAAAGGTGTCTCCCTTTGCACAAGGAACAGAAGAGTGACTAAGTCAATAGAGACTCTGATCAAGGGAGAAGGTACCAAGTTAAATGTGCATAACAAACCTTGCTCTTGTTTATAGTACTTTTCTGGTCATCTTCCCATAACTGGCTTTCCCTACCTGCTTCTTTCTTGTTTCAGCAAATGATGATATTTAAGCCTGAAGTCAAAGCCATAGCTTTGAGATTTACTCTTGAAACCCACTCATTTTCCCTGCATGTTTCCTGTATACATGAGATATACATGTTCATAAACTTCTGTTTGTTTTTCTCTTGTTAGTCTGTCTTTACAGGTGTCTGTCCTAATTAAGAACTCAGACAGGGCAGAGGAAGCATTATTTTTCCCTCCCCTTTACTGTGATAAGCTATAGCATGGGAATGAAAACCTTTTGGCGCAGTGAGGGCTCTGGAGTGGGTGGCTCATTGTTCTAATGGAACTTCTAGCCTAGACGTGACCTGGAGTGTTGGCTTTGTTCTTAAAAGGTCACAAAACCAGGACTGAGGAGGGTGCAGGGTGCTCATGATAAACTGAATTCCATGGCTCTCGTCCAGCCAGGGCACTCTATCAAGGTGCCTTTTTGAGGTTAGAGAAAGAGAACGACTTCATATATTTTCTGAATTCTGGAAATGAAATTTTTCCCCCATTACTTTCACAGTGCTCTGGATTTCACTTCCTCTCCCAGCCTTATTCCCACTTTGGTAGAAAGAAATGCTAAGATCAGCAGAAAGATTAATATATCAGCAATTCTGTTATTGTGTGTATCGATTCTCAAGGGGCCAGAACAGAACCTCAAAGGTGAGTGTAAGTGGAAAATACATGCAGGCAATATTCCACCAGTTGTATTTATGAGCCATTTAGAATCTCCCAGGAGGGCTCCAGTTTAATATCTATCAAAGCTTTGGGTTTTCTCTTCTTCCCAAGGAGATACCAACAACTGTTTATTTTGCAAGCTCCTATAAGGTCTGAATATTTCTCATGAGTGGTACCTGGAAGGAAAATAGTGATTGTCCTGCCTATAAATGAGAAAGGCCCAGTAGTTGGGGGAAAGAAAACCTGTGATGTATCATTCTAATGTTGAGAATACGACATTCCAAGCATGTCAGTTACCTTCAGTCTTACATATGGTGAGTTTTCTCATTATCTGTAGGCATGCAACGTTTTAAGAACCAAAATATTGAATCCAATTTCTTCACTTTGTTCTTTTCCCTGTTCTGATTGCCTCATTGTTTAGAATGGCCTCTAATCTCCAATAGGTCCCAAGAAACAGGCCCACTTAATAATGCACAAACCAAGCCAGGCTATTTAAAGATGTCCATTAATTCCCATTAATTCATTCATCCAAAACACATTTATGTAACGTCCACTCCATGCCAGCTTTTGTTCCAAAGTTCAGGGATACAAAAATAGTCTCAAAAAGAGCTCACAGTCCTGAGGGGAAGACAGACAAGTGAGCATGATCACTGTACAGTGTGGGAAGTGCTAGAATAATAAAAATAGCTACCATTCTTGAACATTTGCTTTTTTGGTACTACATATGCTGATGTGTATTATCTCTAATCCTCCTACTACGCTGCAAGAAGTTTTGCTATCTCTTTTTCTAAGGAAATAGACAGATATTCAGAAGCTTGCTTATGGTTACAAGGCTACAAGCATTAGGACTGGGATTTAAACTCAGGTCTTGAAGGAGCTAAAACTCCTGTTCTTTGCATGTTGCTCCTAAATGCACTGACAGAGGGTGAGGATAACTAATCCTGACTCAGGGAGGACTCAGGGAAGGTTTTTAAAGGAGATAAGGAGGAAGAGGAGAGAGCCCAGGGGAGGGGAGAGACTTACCTTCCCCATGACTCTTTAGACAAAGACTCATAACAGTGTGCCCAGACTTCCAAGTTGTAGGAAAAGAAAGGTGACAATCCCAGCTTTCTTTATTTGCTATAGGAAAATCATAACCAGGTCAGGGAAGGAACAAAGACGATAACCAGCAAGATGGCACAGCGGGCTCAAGAGACAGCTGCGGTAGGGAGAAAAGGTGAAGCATCTCTTGGCCATAGCAGGCCTGGAAAGAAGGGGCTGTCCATGGGTAATAGCCAACAGTCTACAACCATATCGAGTCAACTCTGACACTTTGAACAACCACGCCTCCCTCCCGAATTAGCTTCCACTGACTCACTTGTCCATGGCTAAAGAAAGCTGCCGAGGAATGGGGTCCAAAACCAATACAGTAAAATCTTACTATTTTGAAAGATGGGAGACTGTGAGTCCCAATTGAATTAATTTTTATAAAACATTCAAACTCTAGGATGTGTTAAAAGAAACACCGATAATTATGTTACATGTTACAGATGCTATAAACTCAGAAATAAATGGGGTGCTAATAAGAAAAATTGCCTAAACGAACCTGAGATTACAATTTATAAAAACCCTGTGGCTTATGTATAGTGCTCATAAAAGTACAGATTTCTAAATTACAACTCTTCTTTCAAACTTCTTACCCAATACAATCACTGTGTTGTAATTAATATAAATTCCAAAATGCTGGGCCCAATTAGGGAAATTTTACTATACAGCAAAGAATGAGGTGAGTTGTTGTAACATTGTACTAATATGAAGAAAGACCTCTTAAAATAGTGGTATCAAAAAAATTTTAAATCAGTGGGGGAGATTTTGTGCATATGCTGTATTGTGTCAGAAGTCCCTAATTGCCCTGGGACCACTTAACATTTTATTTACTGGTCCCTGAGTGCCTACCATGTAATCAAGTCTATACGTATGTGTATGGCCTAATCATTAAGGTGCTAGAGTCTAACATGCCTCTCACACACGTAAATGTTGAATGCATATACAACACACAATCCACATTCTTCTATGGCCCCATTTTCCCTGGACAGTGAGTTCTGTACTTGGACAGAGAGATAAACTATCCTACTGAAAGAAAGCGTGGGGAAGGAAAAAAGAATTTTCTCTCTACCCTTAGTTTTTAGTTGGAATGGACCCCTGTAACAAAAGACAAATTAACAAGAGAAAAAACAAACAGAAGTTTATCAACATGTCTTTCAACTACGCATGGGAGATACCCAAGGAATGCATCATTTTCACAGAGAGCTTTGATTTTAGGCTTATATAGCCTCTTCAGCAAAGAACAGAAGATTTTTAGAGAAGTGGCAAGACAAAGGAAAAGAACCTTGAGTCTCCAGGGGCAGCAAAGTGTGAGAAGGAAAATACAGTCATGCAGCATTTAGCGACAGAGATACATTCTGAGAAATGTGTCACTAGGCAATTCCCTGATTGTGTGAACATCATAGAAGGTACTTAACGCAAACCTAGATGGTAGAGCCTACTACAAACCCAGGCTGTATGGTAGAGCCTATTGCTCCCAGGCTATAAACCTGTACTGCTTGCTGCTGTACTGAATACCGTAGGCAATTGGAACACAACGGGGAGTATTTATGCATCTAAACCTAGAAATGGTATAGTAAAAACACCATGTGAAAGACAAGAAATGGTACACCTCTATAGGGCAGCTCTATTATAATCTTATGGGATCACCATTATATAAGTGTTGACCAAGCATCATTATGGGGAGCATTACTACATACGGTAGCTGAAGGCTAGTTAGTGAAGTTTGTCATGTAGATTCCTCTAGTGGTGGTCTCCAGATAAGTGATCCTTATTTTTATCCTCTCATTGGTAAGGATCCTAAGTTGTCTTTAGTGATCAACCTTTGTTCTTCCTGGCAGAGAGGGGAGAAGGGACACTGTTGTCTATATAAATGGATGTCCTGCTTTTAGGCAAATGGGGGAGGCGGAGAGCTTTTCGTCTGCTTCTTCTCAATTACTTTCAGGCCAAAATAATCCTTATGCCAAAGAGGCATCTTTTGGAGTGATCTTGTCTCCTACAGAACATAACAATGGCTTAGAATTCCCCCACCATCTCTCCAGGACCTAATTTCTAGGAGAAATATCAAGGATGGGAAAATCAGCCTTTTGTAAACAGATAGAACCTGAAGTATGCATCCATCAGGAAGGGTTCCGGCTTTGGCTGAAACAGCACACTGGGATCACAGATAAATGGGAAAGAAAGGAATACAAGGGAGGAGGAGTGTGAGGGTGAGAAACAGAAACAGAGAAAGGAAGGTGGGGAGAGAAACAGAGAGAGAGAGAGAGAGAAAACCAATGCTTTCTATGCTGGAACTTGCTTTTTAAAGTACCTTATTTTAATTATGTTAATCCTTTTAAACCAGTCTCAATTCCCAGCTTAATGAGAAGGAGAGTTGAAGGATGGAGAAAGAGGACCCTCTTTGCATCCCCACTCCCAGGCCTGTGTCCTCCCGCACAGTTTATTTGCCCAGCGATCTGACCCACACACCTCCTACATAAGAAGGTGAGGCCCTTTCTACTGGGAACTGAAGGGAAGGAACAAATTGCTTAGTGTCCTCCAAACTACTTATGGGATTTTTCTAACAAAGATCAGAACTGTGCCTCCATCTCAGCCACAACTCTGACTCAGTGGCCTTGATAGGTTTTTCCACATGTCTCAATTTGATGCTAAAAGTTTCTGATTATTTCCTATCTCTTACTTACAGGAGGCACTTTCTGCAGCTGGACAGATGAGCTAATTTCCCCTGTAGGCTTCATGGCTCCCAATTTCCCCTTCCTCTCCCCATAATCCCTTTCCTGCTTGTTGGCACCCACACAACTATTTTCCCCATATTTACAATACAATTTATTTATTTTTATCGATGCATAACTTTACTCACCTATTCCTTAAACAAACACTTATGAAACACCTATCAATGCCAAATTCTGCACTGGGTCCTATCCCCAAGTTGCTAAAAATCTGCAAGTGGATGGATAGCGGTGTCATCAGCCTCAGTACTGGGTGGGCTGACTGCAGATTCCTGTCTCTGCAGCTGTGTACAGTTGAAGCCATCCTCATGGAAGCCACCCTCAAGAATTCTGTACATAAATATAGTTATAATTAAGCATTAATCAGGCTGCACTTTGACACACTTCCTTGTAACTGAAAGTCACAATACACTAGATGCTGTCCATTTGCATCCCATTGTTCCTATAGTTAGGATTTCTGACATGAGGTTTATAGGGCTTTTGCTTAAGAATTGCTTAAACAGATTGTGAATTCCCATGGAACAGGTGATACCAATCTGTTTGAAACCCCTACAGATAAACTGAATCAGCAAGAGGATACAGTTTCTTCATCTCCCTGTCCCAAGACGTCACCTTGCACTCTTCAGCCAATCAATGATACCACTCTTCAGCCCATTCCAAAACCCTTAAAATCCCTAGCTTCAAGCTTCTCTGGGAGACAGCTTTGAGGTTTCATCTTGTCTCCTCGTTTGGCAGCCCTACATTTAAAGCTTTATCTCTGCTGCAACTCAGTGTCTCATTGTATTGATTTGCCATGCACATTGGACAACAGATCTATTATTAGAGAAAGGAAGATGGGGAGAGAGAGAGAACCAATACTTCAACTTTATATGGTTGAGGAAATCTCATAGTCTCCCTGAATTCTCTTTCCTCCTCTACTCATTGCACTTGGAATCAGAACACTTGAGTGTAAACCTGGATACCAGGTGCCTTGAACAAGTTATTTAACCCTGCTAATCTCAGTTTGCTCCTCTGTAAAATGGGCATCTGCTAACACGTATCTGACAAGGCTGTTCTTACTAGTACATGTGATAATATGTGCCAAATTTGAGTTTTCTTTGAAGTTCTAAGACGCCTCCTTCTCTTTGTGAAAATACCTTTCTCTACCAAAAGAGATATATAGACCAATGGAACAGAACAGGAGCCTCAGAAATAACACCACACATTTACAACCATTTGGTCTTTGACAAATCTGACAAAAACAAGAAATGGGGAAAGGATTCCCTATTTAATAAATGGTGCTGGGAAAACTGGCTAGCCATATGTAGAAAGCCGAAACTGGATCCCTTCCTTACACCTTATGCAAAAATTAATTCAAGATGGATTAAAGACTTAACTGTTAGACCTAAAACCATAAAAACCCTAGAAGAAAACCTAGGCAATACCATTCAGGACATAGGCATGGGCAAGGACTTCATGTCTAAAACACCAAAAGCAATGGCAACAAAAGCCAAAATAGACAAATGGGATCTAATTAAACTAAAGAGCTTCTGCACGCAAAAGAAACTACCATCAGAGTGAACAGGCAACCTACAGAATGGGAGAAAATTTTTGCAATCTACCCATCTGACAAAGGGCTAATATCCAGAATCTACAAAGAACTCAAACAAATTTACAAGAAAAAAAAAAACCCCATCAAAATGTGGGCAAAGGATATGAACAGGCACTTCTCAAGAGAAGACATCTATGCAGCCAACAGACACATGAAAAAATGCTCATCATCACTGGCCATCAGAGAAATGCAAATCAAAACCACAATGAGATACCATCTCACGCCAGTTAGAATGGCAATCATTAAAAAGTCAGGCAACAACAGATGCTGGAGAGGATGTGGAGAAATAGGAACACTTTTACACTGTTGGTGGGACTCTAAACTAGTTCAACCATGTGGAAGTCAGTGTGGCGATTCCTCAAGGATCTGGAACTAGAAATACCATTTGACCCAGCAATCCCATTACTGGGTATATACCCAAAGGATTATAAATCATGCTACTATAAAGACACATGCACATGTATGTTTATTGCAGCACTATTCACAATAGCAAAGACTTGGAACCAACCCAAATGTCCATCAATGATAGACTGGATTAAGAAAATGTGGCATATATATACCATGGAATACTATGCAGCCATAAAAAAGGATGAGTTCATGTCCTTTGCAGGGACTTGGATGAAGCTGGAAACCATCATTCTCAGTGAACTATCACAAGGACAGAAAACCAAACACCACATGTTCTCACTCATAGATGGGAATTGAACAATGAGATCACCTGGACACAGTGCAAGGAACATCACACACTGGGGCCTGTCAGGGGCTGGGGGGCTGGGGGAGGGGTAGCATTAGGAGAAATACCTAATGTAAATGATGAGTTGATGGGTGCAGCAAACCAACATGGCACATGTTTACCTATGTATCAAACCTTCACGTTGTGCACATGTACCCTAGAATTTAAAGTATAATAATAAAAAATAAATAAAATTAAAAAAAGAAAATACCTTTCTCTTTCCTAGCACTCCCTACTCTCTTCTTTCATCCCCCCATTTGTAATGGAGCTATATAATTTTAGTCCTAATGATTTTGTTTCCTTCTTCTCTTCCTCCTCCTTCATCTTTATCTTTATATTATTATTATTAACCAAAGTCCAATATCACAGATTAATTAATTTAAACAGAGACCTAGAAGAGGCAAAAGCAGTGGAGGTGAAGAAACAGAATCGGCAGCCAGTCAAAGGTGCAAATCAGATTGGCCCCAAGTTATTAGACGTGAATACTGTTAAGATAAGTCAACTTGAACTTTCTTTGGGACAAGTTAGTCACAATAAGAATGATGCATTACTTCTGCACTGGCTCTCAGCCAGGCCAGCCCTGGGAAGTGCGGTTAGTCTCTCTAACCGAACTTGGCTCCAGAAATAGAGTTAAACCTCTTTGACAGTAGGAATAGTTTCCCCTGCCCATTACACTATTTGCAAAAGAAAAGAGAATGAGAAGTATAAACACTGGAAGATCATAAATGCTACTAATAATAAATAATGCAATCCTCTTCTGGTCTGCACACACATTCAGGTCCTTGTGCCTCTCTTCCTCCAGCCATAGGGTAGCTGTGCACAATTTGTTCCCTAGGTCAGGGTGTGGCTGGGTGAGGGGTGGTAGAATCAGCCCCTTCTGCACTCATCAAGCTGTTTGCATGTTAGGCTGCACTTACCAGGAAGAGGTATCATTTTCTAATTCATAGAAAGGCATCATGATGTGAGCTGGTGTTAGCCTACTCTTCCTCCATGTTTCGTGGAGAAAGCCTTTCAGAAACCACTTTCTCCTTGTGTATCCCTGGCATGCTTTAACCCATCTGGATATCATTCCATCTTTTTTCTCCCTTCCATGCAGTGTTTGTGGTGGAGAAAGTGTAACTATTTGAAGTCAGACTGAACTCAGATTGAATCTCACATCTGCGGCTTTCCATCCAAAGGACCATGTCTGCCTGTTGTACCTTCCCTAAGCTCCTATTTCCTCATCCATAAAATAGGTGCAACAATAGCTGTTCCTGAAGGATTGTTTAAGAATTAGAAATGGTCTAATTTATATACTTGGCACAGAGTGAGTATGGACATGTAGTCAGTAAATCACCAAGAAGAGAGAAATGCCTTTCTTCAAGTTTCTAGGAAAACAAAACAAAACAAAATAAAACTTTTGGGCCTGGCCCCTATCTTAAACAAACTATACCAACTGGAGTAGGTTTTGAAAAACTGTCTGCGGCTCATGCTAAAGTAAACTGAATGTATAAAAATACAGATTTACCAAACAGAAATATGTCACATCCATTTTTTTATTCTCTCTTTATAAAAATACAAGCTGCCTACTACATTGAAAGAAGGATTCAACTTGCAGTTCCTTGATTTGTTTATTGTTTTCCAAGGGAAGCATATAGTTTGTAATTAAGTATACCTCTAGATTTTGGATGTGGGCATGTCTCTTACAGAATTGAATATTACTAATAATGACAAAGGTAAAGTGTCTGCAAATGACAAATGAATCGGGGCAGAGAAACAAGCACAATAGATTAAGTAGTATATCATTGGGAGAACCTAGGGCCTAGGATGAGAAACACAAGTCAACACCTTAAACTTTCAAAATGGGTCTCAGGATTCATTTGTCTAGAAACAGGATTGAAATAAGGAACTCAGATGCACTGATGAAGTGCTGGAGATGAGAAGGACCTAGACATGATACGGCCTAAACCTCTGGTTGCACAGATGGGGAAATAGGCCCAGGGAGTCATTCCACTTATTTAGTGGCAAAGTTAGTGCAACTACCCAGGTTTTCTGGCACTCTGGCCACTGGAGAATTCTGTATTTCATCTGTAATGATATCACATATTTTCCTAAAAGGCCCATTACTATTCTGATGGTAGAGGAAAGAAGTTTAGGTTTAATCTTCTCGGCCTGCACTTGTCCAGGTTATGTTCCTCAGGGGGCAGCCCTAACAGAAGAGGAAATGCATGCAATGGGGAAGGGGGGCTCACTCTCTAGTTTTCTGTGTGGCTCACCATGTCTCCACGCTAGCACAATGCCTGACATAACAGCAAGAATTTAGTGACTCTTGACTGAACCAATTTTGAGTGCACACTTTCAAATCTTGTTAGTTTAAACAATGCAATGATCATGACCTTTTGGTAACTTTCAAAGAAAGAGAGCAAGGAAGTGGGGCACAGGGTGGCTGATATAGCGTTAAGTAGAAAGCTCAGGGTCTAGGTAGTCAGGAAGAGTGAGTTTCCTATCCTGGCTTCACCACCTACCTACCCAGTGACTCAGAACAAGTAGTTACTTGTCTTTTTTGAATTTTGTTTTTCTCAAATGTAAAATGGAATAAAATGTCTATTTCATGGAATTTCATGCAGATTACATGATAATATTTATTAATTGCTTGGCACTGTACCCGGCATAGGCTAGGAGCTCAATAAATATAACTGAGACAAAAAAGAAAGGAGATATTGTGTAAACAGGGTCCTGTTGGGTTTTAAGTGCATGCAGAGAAGTAGCTTCATCTTACATTATATTCCGGCAAACTGTGAATACCTCCCCACATCAATTCAAATCTAGCACATTTGCCCTTAAACCTAACAGGAGGTGGTCTCCAGTCTCCACCATTTCTCCCTTCCTTTTGCTTCTTTTCAATTTTTTTTTCAGGTTTTGGGTGCTCCATCAGCTCAGGTCCCTGAAAATCCATACAATCAGGAAAACTGAGAGTTGGTGGAGTCAAGGACCAGCCCTCTAGTCCCAGAGGGACAGCCATGGCTCTGTCCTTTCAGCCCAGTGTGAGTCTAGAAGCAAGGCCCTGAAGCCACGTGTCTCCAGTAGGGACCCAGGCCAGGAGAGGCTCAGGGGGAAGGCTACAGTGCTGGAGCCCTGCTTGGAAGGCAGGCCCACTGGGGCAAACCTCTGAGCAGCTTGGTACTCCTTTCCCAGTGACCAGGGTAATACTTGAGGCACCAACCCCACCACAACTTCATCCCACCCACACCCCCAAGTGCCATCTTCTGCAACTGCTTGAACTATTTCCCTATTTGCGAACATGGGTTCAAATAAGCAATTTAAAATCAAAGCAGAGGGAACAGTTTGCAGCAGCAAGCGAGTCCACAGGGAAAGCCTGTCAGAAGAGTTATATCTGTGTAGCTACTAGCAGGCAGAAGCCCACTGTTAAATGCGCATGCTTAGGGAAGATGCAAACTCAGGCTGCAATGCACCCACCGGACCCTAGAAACCATGCTGCCTCCATGCTCCCATGTCTTCTTGGCACTTGCAGTTTGACAAGCACTTTCACAGCCCCGTTTGCACCTTAAGGAAGCATGATTCTTTCAGGCATTATTACTTCCATTTTACCACGAGAAAACCTGATGCTCAGAGAGGTAAAGTGACTTGTCCAAAGTCACGAATGACAGAGTGGCAAAACTCGACCTAGAACCAAGATCTGCTAACTGCTAATTAGTCCAGAGCTCTTGACTCTACCCCATTTGGTTCACGGAGGCTCCTCTGGAGTCTATAACAGTGAGATTTGAAAAGGGGTGTTTACATTGCTGGACTGTTTTCAGTGAGATGGACCTAGAAAATTCCCTTCTAGCCAGCCTCTTTCTGAAATCTCACCTGTGGCCCCTGGAGTTCCTTGGCTGGTTTCGCTTGTCTCTGTGGCCTCTCCTGGGAAGCAGGACATTGAAAAGTAGGAGCAAGTGCACTTGATTCTCTTCCCTGTGAAGCTGGGAGACAGTCCCTGCCTTCTGACAGAATGACCGTACCAGGTGCTATTGCCTAAATGTCTGTGATCCTCCCAACATTCATATGTGGAAACCTAACTTTAAAGGTGATGTTATCAAGAGGTGGGGCTTTGGGGCCGTGATTAGACACATGAAGGTGGAGGCCCCATAAATGGGATTAGTGCTCTAAGAGGCCCAAGAGATACTCATCAACCCTTCCATCATGTGAGGACATAGCCAAAAGGCCATCTATGAACCAGGAAGTGGACCCTCACCAGACACCAAATATGCTGGTGCCTTGATTTTGGACTTCCCAGCCTCCAGAACCATGAGAAATACACTTTTGTTGATTACAAGCCACCTATCTATGGTATTTGGTTATAGCAGCACAAATGGACGATGACAGCAGGGTTCCCCACATTTTCTCTAGAAAATCCTTCCTTGCCTCTTCTAGTGTCTGGTGGCTCCAGACTCGCCTTGACTAGTGGCTTCATCACTCCAATCTTTGCCCTTAAGTGTCCTTATAAGAGGAAGGCAGAGAGTGTTGTGAGACCCACAGAAGAGGCAAAAACACACGCATAATGTGATGTGAAGATGGAGGCAAAGATTGGAGTGACGTATCTACAAGTCAAGGCAACCTTGGAGCCATCAGACACTGGGAGAGGCAAGGAAGGATTTTCTCCTAGAGGCTCTAAGAGGGAGTATGGCCCTGTGGACAACTTGATTTTGGACTTCTAGCTTCCAGAACTAGAACCAGAGAATAGAATAGCTTCCAGAACTAGAGAATAAGTGACTGTTGTTTAAGCCACCCAGTTTGGTATAATTTGTTACAGCAGCCTCAGGAAACTAATGCCTTTGGGAAAGCTCATGGTTTCCATTCCTGTTTCCTACATGCTCTGGCCACGCTTGGCTTTCTCAGCCAGAGTCCAGGAATCATCGACTTCTAGTCTCAGCTAGATCCCTGGGGCCCCACTGTGCTGTCATTGGCCATGCTGCCTGCAGAGAAAGCTCCCTGCTGGTACTGGCCCTGGCCCATCCATGACCCTGTTGCAGGATGCTGAGACCATACAGTCCTGGATTATATGTAGTTCACACACTCCTCAGAGCCAACAGACCAGAAGAAAGGAGTCAAAGGAGCCCAGGGGACAGAGACAGCATGGGATGGTTGGTGAGACCCTTCTGGATCCTTCAGAACTTGCAGAGCCTTTCCCCTCCTGGGGTTGTGCACTTGGATGGGCTCTTGCTCTTTGTTGCTTGGTGAGGAGGTCACAGCAACAGAGCGAGGATTTTTCTGTAGGAAAACACCCCAGAACCCAAGAGCTGCCTTGGGTTGCCAGTGGTATCCTTGCTGAAAGGATCCACAGCTCTTGGCAGATAAGTGCTGGAAACCTCAAAGGGAATGAAGCCCCTCAAAGCCAGAGCTTTGTTATTTCTCAAAATCCACAAGGGAGCCCTGTTTTCAGACATGGGACTCAAGTGCCGGCTGCAGCTGAGCGCGGCCCAGTTCCCCAGCAACCCCATCAATCCCAGCCCTTGGGTCTGTGTTTCTTTGTAATGTGTGTGCTTTATATGACATTAGTTATAAGCATTTCTGTGCATTGGTAGGCAGAGGCTCTCCTTCCCTGATTTGGACTCATCTTTCCTCTTTAAAGCTTTCCCCTCGGCCCTGTGTGCTCTTCATTCAGACTAACAATAGCCCTGGCAATATCGAGGTGGCAGCAGGGAAGAGCTACAGTTTAATAAAGCCAGGGCCCAGCGGCCTCCCCCTACCCACACTAGGGCTCTAATAAAGCCCTTTCGTCGTTCCAGGCTGCATTTCCACCCCAGTGTCTGCAAATGGCTTTCTCAACTGAAAGGACGCTTTGTTTGTACTTAGGACGCAGTTGAGAGTGGTCACAGATTTCAGCCACCCTTCGTGGGATGGGAAAGAGAGTCAGGTGTGGAACTGCATCCTGAGAACCCTGCTCCTACCTAATCAACTGACAGCACATCCAGGGACTTTGCAGAGTCTGGAAGGTTCTAGAAATGTCTAGCACAGATCATGTCCAAGTTCACCTTTAGTCAAAAGTCCATGTGGGCTACTTCCCTGCCTTAAAACATAGCTAGCTTTTTCTCCAGACTTTCCTGTGTAGAGAAGCTGTCTTTTCACTCTCCTTTCTGAAATCATGCAATCAAACAGAAATGAAACTCTATTAGCTGTCTGCCTTTCTCCATATTCCACCATTTGATAGCACTTTACAGAATGTGAGCCAAGAGCTTTCATCACCCTGGTATATTTACTCAGTGAATCCTTGTGCTGTTACTACACGTGTTTGTATGCTGTTGTTATAAAGTGTTACCTTTTTTTAAATCACAAAATCATACATGACATTGGTGAAAAATTCAAGCATTCATGAAACGTATGATTTAGGAACTGAAAGACCCCTGTAATCCTACCCTCCCAACACCTGTGTAATGTATGTGTGTGAGGTTTTATTTTAATTTTCCATCTTAGTCACGGGGAAAACAAAATGATGGCTGTCTGGATGGGAAATCAACAGGAAATCCACAAACAGAATCAGGTAGTTCTCCTCAGCCTACCACATTGAGCCTCCCTCCCTGCAAATGGGGACAGTTTTAGCCTCTGTGACAACTTTCTCCTCTCAGAAAAATACCTACTTTCAGCAGGCAGGGTACCTAGGAATCTTGGCTGCTGTGGAAAAAGGACAAATGGGTCAGTGTGGGCCAGGATATGTTCTGAAATGGGGTGCTATGGGCTGAACTGTGACTCTCACAAATTCCTATGTTAAAGCTCTATGTTAAAGCGCCTATGTAAATTCCTATGTTAAAGCTCTCCTGACTCTCCAATGTGGCTATATTTGGAGATGGATCCTTTATGGAAATAACTGAGGTTAACTAAGGTTATAAAGGTGGGGCTCTGATCCAATAGGATTAGTGTCCTTTTAAGAAGAGACAGGAGAGAGCTCACTCACTCGACCACGTGAGGACACAGCAGGAAGGCGGCCATCTGCAAGCCAGGAAGAGAGCCCTCACCAGAACCTGACCATGCTTGCACCTTGATCTTGGACTTCTAGCCCCCAGAACTGTGCGGAAAATACATTTGTATTGTTTAAGCCATCCAGCCTGAGGTATTTTGTTATGGTAACATGAGCTGACTAATGAAGTCGTGAAGGAGTGGGGAGTATTGTACCTGGTCTAGCTGCCCCCCAACAAATCCTTGCCTCTGCCCAATATTGATACATTCACATTTCTTTCCCTACTGTCACCCTACTGTCCCTACTGTCCCTAGAACTCTGAAAATGGAGGACTGGGTGGAGGTAATAGGAGTGTCCTCTTAGAGACATACGTGTCTGAACCTAGCCTCTTTCCTCACACTGGGACTTTTGCTTCTCCTTTTTCATCTGCAGCTGGGGGCCAGTGTGGCTAAACTTGATGATAGTAGGAGAGAGAACTTTGGGGCATACACTGGGCACCCTTGAATCACATTGACAGTGCATTTTGGGCTCTTGGTAGTCTTAGCTCAGAAACAAATCTGCTCACCAAACAAATACCTCTGATGGCCTTGATTTAAAAGTTTAAAATTTCCCCTTCCACTCTTGCAAGTTCCTAGCCTTCTGTAAGTGAAAATAATTGCATTACTGATGCTTTAGCCTCTTGCTCTCCCTGTTTTGCCCACAGACCCTATGTGTGGACTCTAGGTTTGCCTCCTCAACTTCAGGACACACAGACCCTACAAGCAGCTCCAGCAACACAAGGCCCACATGCAACCCCCAAAAATTAAATAAACTAAATCTCAGGAAGCATGTGGAGTTGAAAGGATGATTTTTCATTTTTGCTGTCACTTTTAGGAAAAATGTCACCAATACCACATAGGTTTATCCCAAGATGCAGGGTGTCTTTTTGAAGTGGCTGTGAATGGGGAGAAGGCAAACTTGAGGAAACAAAGTGATAGAGGAGTGGTCCCTTAAATCAGTGCTTCTCAGACTTTTCTGTTGTGACCTGCAATAAATACACTTTACATCACCACCCAGTAGTCTGTGTACATATACACATTTCAAAAAATAATAACTATCCTTATTACCTGGGGTGCACTGATACTGTGTAGTCTAGTCTGGTCTGTTTCATTTAAAATGTTGCTTGCGAACTAAATTCATTTCATTCATAGACAGCAGCATTTGTTAGTATTCCCAAAGGTATGGAGAAGGATGGGTGTTTACATTTTAGCAACACACTGATCAGAGAGAGCATAGGACAGTGGTTGAGACCCTTGTCTTTGGAGTTCAGCAATAGCTGTAGGTTTGAGTCTCAGCATTGCTGTTTAAGCAGCTGCACAGACGTGGACAAGTCCTCTAAGGTCCCTGTTCAATGGGGATAATGAGGCTTTCTTCGTAAGGTTGTGATAAGAGCTTTGAAAAGTAAATTACATGCGATGTTTAGCACAGTTCCCCAGAAACAGTAAGTTCCTAAGGAAATAGTTATCATTATTAACGGGCACTGAGGCATTTGAGGTGCCCTCCCTGGAGAGACGCGTTGCTCTGTGTCATCTGCTTTTGCTATGAGCTGGTGCTGTGCTGTAGGGTGAGCAGCGAAGTCTGTTTTAGAGGAGGCTCCACGACGGACACACTGAGTTTATTAATAATTATAAAGGGAACATCATTCATTTCAGCTGCTAAACCTGCTCATCCCCAAACAGACTAGGGTCTTAGATCTTGGTTTCTGCTCTGCCATTTTGGGTCATTTTGCAGCACCACGATCTTTCCAGGGATGGGCACGAGGAGGCTGGAGTTCTAGTCTCTCTCAGAGGCTAATGTGTTATGTGAGCTTATACAAGGCATTTCATTTTTCTGTGTCTGTTCTTGTAATAATGGGGATTATAATACCTGCCCACCCTGTCTCACAGGCCAGTTGAGAGGCACAAGCACATTGAAAAATACAGAAAGAGGTTTGGAACCACTCACAGAGAGGCATAATATCAATACAAAGGCTTAACTATTTATTATTACTATCTATCTTTCCTTAGTATTCCATTGTGAAGATTTGTGGTTAGCACTTCATCTTTTTTTCTTCCTTTTTAAAGGAAAAAATTCATTTCTAACTACCTTTTGAAGGTCAATTTATGCTCTGGTCAACTGATTTATAGGAGTGGGGGAGAACAGCTTCCCAATCAAAGTGCTTTTGAATAATGCAATACCCGATATTAAAAGAGGAGCGTTACTGCCTGATATGGTTTACTTTCTCCATTACAGAGAAAATCAGAGCTGCCCTACAGCATGGTGGACATCTCGGTCCAGCCACCTGGCATCCGTGTTCTCCCTCTCGCTGCTCAAATGAGTACTACCAGTCCCATAAATGGCTGTGCAATTTGTGCATAAATATAAAAACCCAGTCAGGACCAGCCCAGCCCTGTGCCCTGCCTGGGGCTGAGGGCCCAGACTCCAAGGAAGGGATGTCTTTCCTAATTGGTCCACCCCTAGGAGCTGCCATTTTCAAATTTGCACAAAGTCACTGTCTAGACTAGCAAAGGTCTTGCTACTAAGTAAAAAAATTTGGGAAAATATGAGGCCAGGCAATGTCCCTGCATAGACTCTGTGGGTCATAGCTGCAAAGACCTTGCAAATACCTGAATGCAACTGACATCTGGACTGCAGAGCTCCAGCGCGCAGGTGGCCCCTAAGTTGTCCGTGTTAGCATAAAGCAGGAAAGATAGGAGCTGCTCTCCTCTCTCCTTCCAGGGGCAGTGCCTGCAGTCCTTAAGACTGTGGCCTCGGGTATTGAGCACACCTGAGGTGAATCCTTGCTTGGCCTTCCAGGGGACTTGGCAGCTTAGAGTAGTCAAGCTTCAATGTTCTCATTTCAAAGACTGACATGTATATTAAGTGAGATATGAGGACGTTATGACCATACTGCTCAAGAAGTGCCAGCTATTGCTCCCTTCCCTCCACCATTCATCATCCACCTCCAACTCTTTCCACTCCAGCCCCTTTGCCCTGTTTCTTCCTTCCTCCTCCCCTCTCTCCTCTTTTCTGTTCCTGAATCCAGGCCTTTGAACAGTTCCCATAGACTCCAGCTGTGTCGTCCATCTAAAATTATCCCCTGACATCAATATTCTAGCTTGCTTCCTCCTTCCTTAGTTTTCTGGCTTTCTTTCTTGTTTACCAACTTCCTTCCATTTTAAGGGTAAGATAAATGAGAGTACAGATGGTGGATTTTTTTCCTCCTTCCTTCTGGAAACTCTATGCTAACTGCTTCAAAAGCAAAAGTCCTAGTGTGTGCAGTGTACTCTCCCAAAATGAGGCTGGGGTCCCTGAAGCCACACACATGTTGATGTTGGTCCTAGTGCCGCCAGGCGCTCTATGGCCATGGGATCCCCAATCTGGCTGGGCAATGGTGGCAGCTGGCAGTGAAGTTCAGATAGCACGAAACCAATTTGGAAACAGTTGTTTCCAAGGGCTGGCATTAGGCATAGTCAAAATCTTAGTGCTCAATATAGTATGTTTTGAGGAGTATCTAAAAGTCTACTCTTGGAATTGAGTCCTTCTATGTTAAACACTGTTCTAGAGGGGTCTTATTTTACAATTAAAATAACTTACCACACTTTACTGCGACTTCATTTATCAGATTGTAGAGGCAGAAGAGACAATTCAGTCCAACTAACAATGACCGGTTTTACCAGAGTATAAACTTCTAAGGGCAGAGACTGTTAGAAAACTGTCTTCTCAGTACCTCCTGAATGCCAGCGCATGAGAGTCTCTCAACAAATGCTTGTAGAATGAATAAATAAGAGAATAACGTGTGCTTCATATGAAGCCAAACTCCTTGGTTTACCAAGATGAGAAGGCTGGTAATGGAAGCCCACATAACCACACACTTACAATCTGTTATAGTAACTATCATAATAGTGGATGGGTAAAGACTTTTGGAAACACAAATGAGGATCAATGAATTGAGTGGTGTGTGGACTGGGGAGGGTGGGAAAGACCATTTACATAATTCAGAAAGAGGCCAGAATTTACCTCCTGGGCAGACAGACCTCATGTCAAAATAGGCCATCTTTTCAAGTTACACATAAAAATTTTAAGGGAAAGAAAAACATTTTAACTTAGGGTAATACAAATTCCCTAAATACAGCTAAAAACCGCAGGACAACTATACACCAAATGATAGCAATGGGTAGTGAGGGCGGCGGCCTCCTGTCCTGGCGGCTTCTTGGGGCTGCTCCCCTGAGCCCAGCCTTACACTGGGGCTTAGGGTTTTCTGGACCAGCCGTCCCAGAGTGGAAACAGGCTCCTCACCACCGCTGCCCCTTCCTTTCTTCTCCATCAGAGCTGGGAAGAGACTTTAGTAATCAGCTGTGTTAACCAAATGAGTGTGGTTGCATTTTCTTTGATTCTTTCTTTGCCTGTGGTAACCCAAAGCAATGAACCACCTTGGGAGGCTTAATAAGAATGAAAATGACTGGGCTTCACCCCAGATCTATTGAGTTAGAATCTCTGGAGACGAAGCCCAGAGATCTACATCATATTAACTCAACTGCCCTAAATGAATTTTTTTAATGAATAGACTTTACTTTTTAGAACAATTTTAGATATTACAAAAACACTGAAAAGCTAGTGCTGAATTCTCACATACTCCTTGCGCAGTTTCCCCTATTATGAACATCTTGCATTAGTATGATACATTTGTTACAAGTAATGAACTAATAATGATACATTATTATTAATTAAAGTTCATAGTTTATTCACATTTTCTTAGTTTTCACCTAATGTCTCTTTCTGTTCCAGAATTCCCTCCAGGATCACATGTTACAGTCCCTAGATGATTTTTGTTTATTTTTTTAATTAATTTTTAATTATAAAATAAATACATGAATATATTCTCTTGTTAAAATTTAAATATTACTCTGTGTGTGTTTTGTTTTGTTTTTTTGACACAAAATCTTGCTTGGTTGCCCAGGCTGGAGTGCAATGGCACGGTCTCAGCTCACTGCAACCTCCGCCTCCCAGGTTCAAGCAATCCTCCTGTCTCAGCCTCCCAAGTAGCTGGGATTACAGGCGTCCACCAATACGCCCAGTTAATTTTTGTATTTTTAGTAGAGACAGGGTTTCACCGTGTTGGCCAGGCTGGTCTCAAACTCCTGACTTCGTGATCTGCCTACCTCGGCCTCCCAAAGTGCTGGGATTACAGCTGTGAGCCACCAAACCTGGCTGAAAATGTAAATATTACTATTGAAGAAAGAACTCCTTTAACAACCCTCCAGTTTCTAACCCTTTCCCCAGAGGCAAACAATGTCACAGATTTAGAGCACAACCTTCCAGTGGTTTTTCTATATATTCATATTCACAGACAAATGTATTGAAGGATATAGTATTTTTTTGCGTTTCTTCAACGTAAGTTAAATGATATTGTTCTATGCTTGTCATTCAGCACCTTCCTTTTTTAATTCTGTAAGTTACTGGTGAATGTTCAGTGTCAGTATAATGGGATCTACCACTTTTTTTAAACTAAATATTCATAATATGAATATGTGATATTTTATTTGGCTACTGATAAACATTTACCTTGTTTATAATTGTATTCTGCTATTACACGTTTGCAAAGAACACATCCCTATGCATATATGTGAGTTGCTCTCAGGCATTGTATTTGTTTGCTAGGGCTGCTGTAACAAAGCACCACAAACTGAGGGGCTTACATTTATTTTCTCACAATTCTGGAAGCCGAAGTTCAAGGCCAAGGTATTATCAGGGCCGTGCTCCCTCTGAATCTGCTTGTAAAGGGTCATTTACAAGCCTCTCTCCTAGCTTCCAGTAAGTCCTTGGCTGTGGCAGCATAACTCCAACATCCACATGATATTCCCATTACCCCGATGTGTGTCTCTATGCCCAAATTTCCCTTTTTTTATAAGGACACCAATCATATTGGATTAGGAGTCCACCTTACTCCAGTATGATGTCATCTTCACTTCACTAATTAAGTCTGCAATGACCCTATTTCCAAATAAAGTCACATTCTGAGATATTGGGGCTTAGAACTTCAACATATGAATTGCAGGGAGGCACAATTCAACCTATGACAGATATTGATCTCTAAACTTCTCTGATCCTGCCACGCTATCAGTAAAAAGTATGTTTGCCCATGCACCAAAATATATGTGCATTTAAGTATTTGCAAATTACACATACTTGCTTTTGCACTAATGTGTACATTAAGAAACTGCTTTAGATCAGTTCTCCAGAGCACAGACATTGGGGCTCTGAGATTTGTATGCAGAAACTTTACTGGGGAGAGTGGAATGGGGTGGAGAGGAAGGTGAACTGCAGTATGGATGCCACAGAGAGCTCAGAGGATTCAGAGTTCAGGAGCACAGGAGCCAGGATGGCCTTCAGAGCTGTCCAGAATTGAGGCCAGGACTAGGCTTTCTACCCACACACTGACCAGTCATTGCATACACACTGCCCAGGATGAACAGATCTCTTGGCCAAGGGCAATCTCCTATGAGCTGCTCAACCATGAGCCATTGGTAGCCAACTGCCCCGCCAGCTGAGTCCTGAAAGGGCATCTAGATGGTGCTTTATAGCTGACTCCTCAAAAACAGACCCTCATCAAAAACTTTAAAGGGCTGGCATGAAGTTAAACATACACAGAAGTTATCAAATCTTCTCTGATAATCAATAAATCTTGCATATTCCCAAGATATACAGAATCTACCTTTTAGACTACTGCTGGGCTAGACCAATGCTGAGCATATAGAAAATATACATTTTAAGTTTTAATAGAAACTGGGGCTGGGCGCGGTGGCTCATGCCTCTAATCTTATAAATTTGGGAGGCCAAGGTGGGCAGATCACTTGAGATCAGGAGTTCGAGACCAACGTGGTAAAACCTTATCTCTACTAAAGTCTGGCCAACACGGTGAAACCTCATCTCTACTAAAAATACACAAATTAGCCAGGCGGTGGTGGCGGGTGCCTGTAATCCCAGCTACTCAGGTGGCTGAGGCAGGAGAATCCCTTGAACCCAGGAGGCAGAGGTTGCAGTGAGCTGAGATTGTGCCACTGCACTCCAGCCTGGGTGATGGAGTGAAACTCCATTTAAAAAAAAAAAAGAGTTTTAATAGAAACTGGTAATTGTCTCCTAAAGGGCTACACTACATGATGCTCCCATCAAGAATGTAGGGTGGCACCCACTGCATTTCTGCCCTCTCCTACCAACACTTGATATTATAGAACTTCTTAAATTTTTACCAACCATGGGTTAAGAACATCTCATTCATTTGTGTTTCCCTAATTCCTAGACAAGCTGAAAATCTTTCTTTTTTTTGTGAATTGCATGTTCATACCTTTTGCTCGTCATTCTTTTATGTTATGTGTCTTTTTCTTACTAATGAGTAGGTATCATTTATATCTTTGACTACTAAATCTTAATTCATTCTTAAGTGTAGTAAAATCTGATAGCCATAAATACTCCTGCCTTTTCCTCCCTAACTGTCTCCTCATTTTCATGTGATGAATTTCTCTGTGAGACTAGACAGACAGCTCTGGTATTGTCTACTTGGAACTGAAAGATGTGGAGCCTTGGTCCTAATATTGTCACATTCTAGTTGGGTGGTTGATTGATCTCTCTGATCCTCAGTTTTTTCATAAGGAAAATGGGAATAACCCTACTTCCCAAGGTTGCTATGAGGACTTAATGAGATTATGTGTGAAGAGTTATTTATCATTATGTTTTATTTTTTAGCCTTTATTATAGAACTGTAAAAGTCCAGATACATACTATCACCTACAAAATCCGTTCGTTCATTCATTTGTTCATTGCTCACTAAATGGAAATTTATTATTGCCAGCCATTAACTCTGTTATGCGTTAGTGGATCCAGGAGGAGAGCCATAGGGGAAAACAGATATAAAAAATAATGAAAGCCCAATCTGATGAGGATAAGGAAGAACACTGCATTCCTTCTCATGTTTTACTCTTAGACTCGAAGAAAGGTGTTACCATACCTTCCAGACGCAGGGGATGGAGGACCACAGCTATATTTACAAATTCCCTCTCTGTCCCAATAAATCAGAACTTGGCATTCCCTGAGCAGTGTCTTAGCCCTGGGCCCTGTGAAAGTTCTGTAGGTAAAGTCCTAACGACTTTTGCACATAAGCCTCCCTGTAGCAAATCGTGTAGGCATGCCTGGCCATCTTCCTCACCTCGCCTCCTCTTCCTGCCAGTGACTAGGTGAAGGATGTTGGCTGTGTCTGGAAAGGCGGTTGCCTTAAAGGGATTTGGCATTGGCTCTGCAGGCCTAGGTATATTCTTCTCTGTCTGCAAGTGCCCCCTGAGTATGTAAGTTACCAATCAGATATTTGTAATGAAAGGTAAGGGTAGATTCAGCCCCAAAAGGAACCATGTTTTCCAGTCATGCTTTTATCAGAGAGCCCTGCTTTTGCAGTGAGCAGGATTTTGTGCATCTATTAATACAGGATTACGTTCCCATTTCTCTGTTGTTCTTGAGTTAGTGCTCGCCTGGTTATAAAGACATAGTTTGCTTAAGACGTAGAAAGAAATTTCATGCCATTGAAGCTTCAATAAGGTCCAGTGGGTAGAGGTGCTGAAAAGGTAGGTTTCAACTAAATTGTAAATGCCTTTGTATTCTAGATTTTGCAGTGGTGGGAATCAGTATGTTTAAAATAGGAGACTCACATGTTCAGATTTCATTTTTAAGAACACAGCATTAGTGTGATAGAGTGACAGGTGGCAGGAAACTTCCATTGTCAGCATATTCTTCTTCCTTCTCTAGCCCTTTCTCCTCTCTTTATCCTAACAATCCCAGGAATATCTGGAACATAGTGCAAATAAGCCTGCCAACTCTCTTGCCAGCATTCTGACCACAAGGTTAGGAGATAGAAACATACTTAAAAGGAAATCACACTTTTCTTTTAAAAGTTTAAAAAACAAACTATAAGGCAGTAAAAGAGATATAAAAGCTGAAGTTGCCCTTGAAACCTAACTTCCTTTTTTCAAGTGTTTTTCTCTTCATTCATAGTGGCTGCAACTGAGGCCTGTGTTGTCCAGGCACCTGCCACCAGGCCCCTGGCCCACACTCTCTCCAGCTGCACTGTTAAACTCTTTCTCTCTCCTGAGGTTTTAGTGTCTTGTGTTTTCTTTTCCCTGTGGCCTTTCATAACCTTCCACTTGGATGTTTTAAGATGCAGGTTTTATTATCATTCACGTATGGTGAGGCCAACTGATCATGAGACAACTGTCATTGAAAAGATAGTTTGTTTTACAGTCAGAGCCTGAGAGGAGAGGAACACCATGCCGTGGGAGAGGAGGGCACCCAGAGAAGCACCAGGTGGGTCAGGGGGAGGAGGGAGTGAGGGGAAATGTGACAAATCACAGCTTTGACTATGGTTTTGTGGGAGGCATTGTAAGCAGGATTAGGATTGGCTAGTGTGAATAATTCCAGTGGGCTCTGGCACACAGGGGCTCTCCCTAGTTGTCTGGTGGCTGGTCTTGGGGTGATCAGGCTAGGTGGAAGGTGGCCCTGAGTGTAATAGACCAATATAGGGAGAATGGGCTCTGGATTGGTTGGTTTGCATTTGAAAGGTGCACTTACATACAGACAAGTCCTTTACTCTCTCCAGGAGCTGGCTAGCCCTGGAAGGGGCAATCTCTTCAGGACAGGCAAGGCCCCAAGATACCAAAGCACGAGAATAAAAGGACATGCTTCATATGCACATATTCTTCATGGAATACAAAGAGTTTATTGGACACCATTTTCCTCCATGGGTATCCTTGTCTTTCTCTATTTTTTTTTCTTACTAGTCACAAAGCTAATTCTCTTTTAGAGGGTCTCTTTTCTACCAACTCATGACCCCCTTCACTCAGCCACCTCTTGTTGAATGTTCCCTATAACGAGACACGGGTCCATTGGGTCAATTTGCTTATGGTTGTGTTTAGGCACCATATTTTGTGGACCTGCCTCTCCCTAGACTGAAAGCAGAAGCCATGATTTGTTTGTTTTGGTGACCCCAACACTCTCCACAGTACCTTGCACATAGTCAGGACTTAATACATGTCTGTTAAAATAAATGTTGACTAAATAACATATCTATTAGTATCAGGCCAACATTATTTTTGGCCAATCTCCTAGCTTTATCATTGAAAATAAAATCTTTTGGAAAAAAACAATTTGCTCAAGGTTGCACAGCAAATAGTAGAGGAAGCAATGTTAGAATCTATGCTTGTTAGAAATTATAGATTGGAGTGACATGAAAAGATGATTATTCACTTGGGTGTTTTGACGGTATTTGGGCCAGAAATTTTTAGAATGTGCACATTCTGTCCTCAAGTAGTCTTACCTCCCCACAAGACCCCCAGAAGCAATATATGCATGGAGAAATAACATGCAAAGCCAAGCAACAGTTTGTTTTTAGCTGAGACTTCAGCCCCTAAAACACAATGCACCTACCTGAGCTGGGCCAGGTCCTGCCTGAGTGAGCTCTGCCTAGAATCAAAGCAGAGAGTCCTGGTGTCATTTGTTTCTTCCCCCAAACCTAAGCTTTCAACTTTATCACCCTGGAGAGACCAAAAGCCAATCCAAACTTCCAGAGAGAGCCAGAGAATGAGAGCTCTGGCCCAATGCTAGAATGAAGCTGACCTAAATTTTCCGCCCCAAGCTTTCTTAGGCCAGCCAGGTTCCCATTCCATGGGGAAAGAAAAAACATCTAGAATTGTTAGTAAGAGAGGTAAGGAAGTGCCAAAACAGGGACAAGCCTATCTTTTAATGTACAGTGCCTTCATCCATGACACTCACTCCTACATTGGCCAATGAAATATCACAAAATGTGACCAATGACAGCAACACCTCCTTTTGGGAATGAAGATTTTTCCTCCACTCAAAGAAAAGGGGATATCTCTGTTTTCAAAGGAATGGGAGAGCTCTGAGCTTTTTCTGAAAGCAGATGGGATAGAGTGCTCCTTTTAGTTTGCACCAATCCCCACCATGTTGCCTCAGATTAGGAGTTTTAATGCAATTTTACTTCTGCTATACCTTTACCATGCACTCAGGTTACCTCCCTTTGTAAGCAAGTGCCTCTTTTGATCAAAGCAGGTGACAGTGTTAAGATTTCTATCTCCACAGAGAAAGAATGGAATGTATGTGTAGAAAAGCTAATCACGGCCAGGTGTGGTGGCTCACACCTGTAATCCCAGCATTTTGGGAGGCCGAGGCGGGTGGATCACCTGAGGTCAGGAATTCATGACCAGCCTGGCCAACATGGTGAAACCCCGTCTCTACTAAAAAAAAAAAAAATAATAATAATACAAAAATTAGCTGGGCGTGGTGGCAGGTGCCTGTAATCCCAGCTACTCAGGTGGCTGAGGTAGAAGGCTCACTTGAACCTGGGAGGCAGAGGTTGCAGTGAGCCGAGATCACACCACTGCACTCCAGCCTGGGTAACAGAGTGAGACTCCATCTCAAAAAAAAAAAAGAAAAGAAAAGAAAAGAAAAGCTGATTGCAAAATTAACCATAATGCATACAACATGGTGTTGAAATACTTAAGCAACTGCTCATTCTGTTAGGCAGAAAATGTTCTTAGATCTTGAAGTCTACTCTAGCCTGTATATATGAATCCACATTTCCTGTAAAAATACATCTGCCCCTATTTCCTGGTGGCATTGCGAAAAGCGCATATTGCTTTTCTTCTACAAAGCTACCGTTCTGTCATTTCCTTTAGTTGTGAGGTCTCCTACCCTTTTTTTCCAGTGATTACTAAGCTTCCCCAGAAAACCTTTTTTGGCTACCTCCATCAGGCTTCATTTACAGAGCCATGCCCATCTCGTTTCTGTTCTTCTGTGTCCTAAGTCTTAGTACTTATTTATATACTTTTATCCCACTAAGGAAAGTTGGGTAACTGATTCCAGCTTTCTGTACCTTGTATTTATGTCTCACACAATTTGGGTCTCTTCTTGTTTTCTTCTTGGAGTAGATACTTCTTGAGACAGGGATAATTTCCGGAGCTTTGGCTGGAGTCATCCAGGGCCTAGTCAAGAGCAGTTCTCTGCGCAGAATGAGCATTCAATAAATATCAGCTGACTATGGTGATGAGTAAATGAGGATGTACTCAGGGTTGGTAGAAAAACTAACATGTAGTCTTCTTGCGTACTTTTGCTATCAAAGCCCTAGTTGCTTAGGTTATTTTTTCCTATTATAGTTATAATAGTTACTTTCTAGGACTCTTCCCTTAACTTAGCTAATAATTCTTCCCTTAGCTTCAATACTTTCTCCAGATGTTGTAAGTTATTGAACAGGAAAAAATGCATATGACCCTGATCTTATTAAACAGCATATTAATCAGAAGCCAATTATTCTGCCCAATACAAATGTGTATTAATTTTGTATTATGTGCAAATATTTAGGCACGGGCCCATGTACACATATATCCATTAACTAGTCAAATACCTAAATTAAAAATGGCAATCTGAAAAAAGTTCCAAGTGCAAAGGTGTGATTGCTTTGAAAATAGCCAATTTAGGAAAGTTTGGCCTTTAATTGGCCAAGTTAAACAAGGCACAATTACTACTAACTTGGTCCCCAAAGACTGGCTCTAATCACGTCATGTTTAACTTGGCTGGTTAAATTGCAAATAGTATTCTCTTTTTCTGATTTGGTTCATTTGGCTGATATAATCTCCTTCTGTGGCTTTTTCTCTCCTGACTTAGCTCTTTCTGTGAATGGAAGCTCCATGGCTTAGGAAATACAGATCTATTTTTTAAAAAACAGCAAAATGTGTGTGTGGTTTTTGTTGCTGTCTTAAACAGTTTCTGAGAAAACTTTATAAGCTCATAGTTATAAAAACATGACAGATTCATCACAAAATTAGTATGCATATGTCAAAGGTTTTATAGACCTGATATCTCAAAATATTCTTGCATATTTTTGTTTGCTTTACATTACAGGTGAGGAAGAATTTTTTTGTACTAACTCTAGTGTCTTCTGTTACCGAGAGATGAGAACTCTAACTTATACATTCAATGTTAAATGAGCCAGCCCAGGGAGACCACACAGTTCCATGAGGGCACAGAGAAGGATGGTTAAACATTTATCTCTATTTTTGTCTGAGAGCATCAGAATTCAAAGAAGTCCAATTTCTTAGTTCAGAATGGTCAATTGCATGCATATTAGATGAAAAGGGCATCTAATTTCCTATGTACTACCATGGAATACATCAATCTAAGAAACAAATTATTTTCTCTGGTAGAGAAACACATATACACATGTGTGTTAAATACTCACTTATTTACTAAAAACAATAAACATTTAAGGAGGAATTACAGTGTGTCAGGTTCTATATTAGGTGTTGGATATGCAGAAAGGAGTAAGACAATTTTGCCTTTAAAAACCTGTAGCATATATTATATGTCTGTATTGGGTTATTTGCACTGGATAAGTCAGAAAAATAATGGCTTTAGATTCCAAATTTTAGCTCCCCCTACTTCTTTTTAGTTTATAACACAGATAGAGCTGGTCTTCAGCATCTTTCCCTTGCATACCACCATGTGATTCTGTTTGTGCCCCCTCAGTGACATTCCATCTCCCATGCCAGTTTCCACTGCTTTCATGCTTTCTCCAACCTCAAAATGAACTCTTAGGAAGAGCTAATTAGTCTACCCTGGTTATAAGGAATTTCTAATAAGAACTTTCTGTATTAACTCTCCCGTGGTTATTTGCCTTGAGGCAAAGCCAGCAAAACTGTATGCTCATGAAAGAAAGATAATTTTCAGATACCTTCAGGTATATTATTTACTTGTGAGTAAGCCACAGCTACCAAATAATTTCCATCTGAATTTGCAGCTAAGTCTGAAGTTTAACACTTTCTACGTTTTCTATTCCACCAAATGTCCTGCTTTCAGGCCAAAATCTGCATTGTGGGTGTGGAAGGGAGGAGAGGGGATCCCCCCCACAGTATTTCAGGTCTACATACTAGGCATGGGGATACTACAGTTTGTACATTTATTATCAAAAGTAATATTCTGATGTGCCTTTATCAGTTGTGCAGATGACCCCCAACTTACGATGGTTCGGCTTTGGTTTTTTGACTTCACAATGGTGTGAAGGCAATAATCCTTCAGTATAAACTGATTTTTGAATTTTGGTTTTTGATCTTTTCTTTGGATAGCAATATGTGGTATGACACTATCTCAAAATACTGGGCAGTGGTAGTGAGCACATTGCCCAGTCAGCCCTGTGAACACGAGGTGACACACCTGATACTCTACAGTGTACTGTGCTGCCAGATGATTTTGCCCAACTGTAGGCTAATGTAAGTGTTTGAGCATGCTTAAGGGAGGCTAGGCTAAGCAGTGATGATCAGTAGGTTGGGTATATTAAATGCATTTTCAACTTATGAAGCAATGGGTTTATTGGGATGTAACCCATCATAAGTCAAGGAGCATCTGTATTCTTTTGGAAAGATCCAAGCTTGTGGCCCATACTGATCAATTTGGTGCATCAGCATATTGTTCTATTGCAAAGTTTTGACTTTCAAGTATGCATATGAAAAAAAATGATACTACATATAAAATGTCTGCTAGTCATGTTGGTAATTAAACAGAAAGCAAGCCAACAAATAAAAACCAGCCAATAAATAATGAATGGAGCATGAAAACCAGAAAGCCCAAAGTGACAAAACTGTCAACAGTATTGGACTCTATACTGTAAATGATAATTTTACAATTAAAATAGAATTTTTTTCTTCTGGGACTCAAAGAAAAGTAATGATGGGATAGGATGATGTGTGTTTCCAGGAATGTCTGACATCATAGGCATTTTTGTTGTTTTTCCAACAAAATCTTACCAGAGTAAGTGGGTTACAAAGAGGCAATCTTATCAAAGTTGGGGGACAAGATGTTAAGCCTTGCCTCCATTACACATGCACACACATGTGCATATGAGCCACAGCACATACTCACATGTGATTATAACTGTGCAGTGGCTCTTGAGGAGGCTTCGCAGGGCACAGTCAGAAAATCTCTGCCTTAAGTATTTACCCTGACCGAACCTGAAGCAATAATAGTCGGGTTTGGCTCAGTGCCTAAACTCTAAGTTTGTAATTAGTCCCAGAACAAAAAAAGAAATTCATGAAAAATGAGTTTTGGGAGGGAGGGTGGGAGAAATCTGGTTTGAAATGTCTGTATTTGCTTATGGGGACATGTGCAATTCACTGGGAATCTTGAGTCTTGGATTTAGCTTTGGTTACTAACTGATCTGATGACCTTGAACAAGTTACTTAAGTTCTCATATTTTTCATATTTGTCCCTATTTCCTCGTACTTGTAACCACAGAATTGCAACAAATGATCTCTGTTGACGATCCTTTATGGAGAAGCTGTGTGCTATCCTATGTAGGAAAATATATTCCAAAGACAAACACGAAGGCGCCTAAAAATTCTTTCCCATGAACATTCCATTTACTGGGCAATAAATAAATAGAAGAAAACAAGGTCATTCTGCAAAATACAGCCTGTCATTTTCAATAACTCTTGTCACCTTTCACCAAGCAGTCCCTGCTGGCAGTGGAACCAATTCTTAGATTTAGAAAAAATGTACAGCATGGTGCTTCAACTTCACCAACTGTCTTAAGCTGCCATCCATCCATGGTGAAAAGGAATCCAGCAGTGGGGACCAATCCCAGTGTGATGCTCCAAGGTCTGGCCAACCACTGTATGTGCAGGACCTTGATCCTCTCACTTTCCTGGATTTCCAAGTGGATCAACCATACAGCATGAAAGGCATTATTAGACAAGAGAAGCATGTCATTGGGATGGACCAAAGCCATGTGAAGATGACTTAGAGCTCCATGTACATGCTCAAGCATTCATACACAATTATGTGAGACAACTTGGAAGTACAGAACCCCTTGAAAGGTCCACAAAATATACTCATCACTTTCTTCCCACAGTTATCTTGTCCAGCTCCTGTTGGAGCTCTTTACTTACAGTTTTCCTATTTGTTTAGTTGATGCCTTTCCGCCCATGTCTTCGATTTCCTCTAGTAGAAGCAAGAAGTTTGCTAATCGCACTGTTGTCATTACAGATAATATTGACTATATATTCTGAATGTTGTGGTCAGCCTAATGAAAATGAAGCCCATATAAAAGGCACACAGTCAACAGGCATATTGAAATATGCTTCAAGATGACTCCAGATATGTTTACATATCATTCAACTCATGCTCAACTAAACTATTCCCCCTTTTTTTTTTGGAGACAGGGTCTTACTCTGTTGCCCAGGCTGGAGTGCACTGGCATGATCACGGCTCACTGCAGCCTCAACCTCCCAAACTTAAGTGATCTTCCTACCTCAGCCTCCCAAGTAGCTGGAACTACAGGTTTGTGCCACCACACCTGGCTAATTTTTATATTTTTTGTAGAGACAGGGTTTTCCCATGTTGCCAAGGCTGGTCTCAAACTTCTGAGCCCAAGCAAAGTGCTGGGATCACAGGAATGAGCCACTGTGCCCAGCCTAAACGATCCCCTTTGGGGAAGATCTTTTGAGACATCCTATTATAACAATTCTGGTACTATTAATTTCTGAAATTATTGGATAACCAGTTCTCCTTAATTAGCTTGGCTAACTGAAATTTTCTTATATAAGATTAAGAATGTTCACCTCAACATTGGGTTTTATAGGTTGTATAAGTTCAAGTGAATAAGCAGGGCAGTTTGTGTAATTTAAGTTCATGTTCTATGTGAAGAAAGAAGGAAAATAGGATTTCTTTAAAACAATACTAAAACCTAATTTGATCAATACTAAATTCTAAATCTGTACTCTGTATAGTAAAGCTATACAGGCTATATATAGAGAGAGAGAGGGAGAGAGAGAGAGGAAGAGAGGGAGAGAGAGAGAGGAAGAGAGGGGGCACACGTGACAGAGAGGGCACGAGAGAAAGTGCACAATTAAAAAAAAAAAACTAAAACCAGTCATTTATTCATTCAACATTTATCAAGCAACTACTATGTACCAGGCATTGTTCTAGGTGCAGAGTAGACAGAAAAGAGTAAAACAATCTAATCTTGTGAATTTTTTTGTAACGATATTTTTGACATAGGTAGCACATTGTAGAGAAAAATAGATTTGAGAAGTCACATTCAGTCATGCCTTCTTAAAGTTTTAGTGCAACTATATGTAAAGGAAATGAAAACTCTGATATTTTATCAGAATTTACCAGTACAATGAAAATGGGCCAAAACATAGAATAGGTAGGGGAAATTGTCTAGATTTAATAAATTCCTATTGGTTATTATTGCACAGCAGATTTTCACCTGAAGTTACATTTGTGTGACAAAGAAGTGTTACCTAATAATCAAAACTATTTATCATAAGAAATAGGAGACATAATGGGAAAAAGCAGTAGCTCTTGCTTGTAGTTCTGGGGATGGGGAATTATCCCTGAATCTCAGTGAGCCTCAGTTTTCTCCTTGGTAAAATAAAGGAAAGAAATTGTCATTCTACCTTGGAATTAAGTAACATCTATAATTAGTGTCTTCTTCCAGCACAAGCTAAATTTGTGAGGCCAGAGACCACACCTGTCTCTTCTCCCACGATGTCCCAAGTACCTTGCTTAGTTACAAATTCTACAAGGCACTCAGAAATATTTGTTGAAAGACAGCAAAGGTTTGTTAAGATTATCCTGAGGGTGAGATGAGAAAAATACATGACAAATTACTCAAACATTTTGAAACATTATTCTTAAGTTACAGAATTCACTTCGTATCCTGCTGTTTTGAGATTTTGCAGTTTGGGCGAATGCTTGATCTCTCTTCAGGGATAAGTTGCTCACCAGGAAGACCTCTGGGCCTAAACTTTTGTGAACAAAATCTGGCTTAGTTGCTAGCGGCATTGGTATTTCCCAACTTTGCCCTGAGCTGGCTTATCATTCCCAGGCATTTCAAAACGAGGTTTCAAAATGAAACTTCATCTAAGCCTCTGAAAGCATCATCCACTTTTGGCACCAAGATGGGATTTTATGATGTTCAGGGGCAAAGGTGCAGACCCCAGCAGTTTTGCTGAGTCTGTCTTTTCTTTTTTTTTTTTTGAGAGGAGTCTTGCACTGTTCCCCAGGCTGCAGTGCAGTGGCGTGATCTCGGCTCATTGCAACCTCCGGTTTCCAGATTCAAGCAATTCTCCTGCCTCAGCCTTCTGAGTAGCTGGCAGGCGCCCGCCACCACGCCCGGCTAATTTTTTGTATTTTTAGTAGAGACGGGGTTTCACTGTGTTGGCCAGGCTGGTCTCGATCTCCTGACCTTGTGATTCGCCCGCCTCGGCCTCCCAAAGTGCTGGGATTACAGGCGTGAGCCACTGTGCCCGGCCTGCCGAGTCTGTCTTTGAAACAAACTGCTTTTATGTAATGAATGACTAGGAGGGAAACCCATGCAAACCTAAATTAGGAAAAGATTTGGACAACCTCCTGAGAACGCAATTGCAGTACGTCACGCAGCTTTAATCAGTAGTCAGTTTCTCCCTGTTGGTCTTCAGAAGAAACCAAATTCTTTCCCAGCTGCCAAGCACAGCATTTCTTCATCCACGTCTACCGTAGTTGGTTTCCAATGAGGCGGTTGTTTGTCCCAGTTCCCAGCCATCTTCCAGGCAGAGGACCATGCTAATTCAT
Source organism: Homo sapiens (assembly GCF_000001405.40). Taxonomy (NCBI): domain Eukaryota; kingdom Metazoa; phylum Chordata; class Mammalia; order Primates; family Hominidae; genus Homo; species Homo sapiens. The sequence goes on along the minus strand of NC_000006.12, from coordinate 14,330,314 downwards.
CACTCACTCACGGTTCTAGGCGAGCTCAGTGAAGAAAATGCATTTTCTTCAAAGGTCCCTATAAAACAACCACCCTCACAAATGACCTGTGAGATCTCTGGTCCCCTAGCATCTTCCTCCCACCTCCACCCAGAATGGCAGCATTGCGTCTCCAAGCCCCTCCTTGCTGCACTATAGACGACCAAGTCCCCATCAACCAGCAGGCTCCATCTCATGACTGAGCGCGCTCCCAGACGTGACCATCTCTCTACCACCCTGCCAATTCCATCTCAAGCCAATCCTCATTCCAGCCAGTGACTTCGTTGAGGTCCCCTCTGAACTCCAATCCCTGAGTATCTGAGAGCTGGCTCCTGACCATTCTGCAACACTGCCCCAGTTAAACTGTGTGCCGCAACGTGATGACCACACAGTCTGGCATCACATCTGAAGCATTTATTTCCCTTCAGGGACATCAATAATATATTTTTTCCTACCTTCAATGAATGCCCTATTGAAACCCCTACGGAAAGGCAACTAGCTGTTAGGGACATTTACCATCAGCATGGAAGTTCCGAGGTTTTATGATGTGTCTGACAGAACCAGACACAGATATCTTATACTGGGCATTTATAATGTCCTGGAAAGCCAGCGTTGCCCTGCTTGCACCTGGAGCCCTGCTGAGTGTTCCTGACTGGCGATTGTACCCAGATGTCACACTTAACTGTTGATGTTCAGTTTCTGAGTACTGAGTAATGTAAGACCAAGACAGGCCCAGGGAAATCTTGTGTAAGGAGATGGTCTCCGTTAGTATGTGTGCATATGTGTGTGGTGTGTGTGTGCAGGTACACGTGTGTGTGTGTGAAGGGGTAGTATTCTAGCAGGGAAGGATTAATTCTTCAGAAGGGCTAGGGAACCCTGGCGAAGACATACCTGATAGCAATCATTAGGGAGAAAAACCCTAAAAAGTTCTGAAGGTCAGCACGCTGTTCCTGGAGAGGAGAGCGAAAGCAGAGATGTCCCCTCACCTCCATCACCTCTCCTTCCCTCAGTGTCACACTCAGCTCCTTACTGGTAGGGAGTGCTTTTTGTGCCCACCAGTTCAGGGCAGCTCCTTGTCACCAAAGTGCTGGGAAGATGCAAGGAGACAGCCTGGCTTCCTGAGCCACCCCGCAGCTTCCCGCAGATGCGCCTAGCCCCATGCACACCAGCCATGGCTACGTCCCAGGTGACTGTCTACATAGACAGAGCAGCAAGGCCCCTGGGCCCATTGACAACCCGAGACAAGGCCAGCGGTGACAAACACCAAGCAGCTGGAAGAGAAGAAGGGGACTTGGGGAAGGAACCTCCCATGAAGAAGCTGAAGTCAAAACTCTGCAGGGAGAAAATGACAGTTTATCAACTATTGGAAAAATAAGCTACTGCTGCTTGATGCTAAGAAAAATGAGTGGTATTTATTTATTTATTATTTTGAAATAATTCCAGACTTAGAAAAAAGTTGCAACAGAACAAAATATTTCCAAAATAACTTTACCCCACATCCCCAAATGTTAGTATTTTGCCTTTACCACATTTTCTTTGCCGTACTCTCTGTGTGTGTGTGCATACATATATATATAATTTTAATAATACAACTAAGAGATATAATTTTCTTTTCTGCACTTGATCTTAGCCAAAAGGCCGAGAAGCAGTATGTAATTTTCTTTTCTGAACTGTTGATTAAGTTGCAGGCTGATATGGTTTGGCTCTGTCTCCACCCAAATCTCATCCTGAATTGTAGCTCCCACAATTCCCATGCGTCATGGGAGGGACAAAGTGGGAGATGATTGAATCATGGGGGTGGGTCTTTTCCATGCTGTCCTCATGATAGTGAATGAGTCTCATGAGATCCGATGGTTTTATAAAAAGGAGTTCCCCTGCGTAAGTTCTCTCTTCCCTGCCGCCATGGAGAATGTGACTTGCTCCTCCTTGCCTTTCGTCATGATTGTGAAACCTCCCCAGCCATGTGGAACTGTGATCCAATTAAACCTCTTTTCTTCATAAATTACCCAACGTCGGGTATGCCTTTATCAGCAGCATGAAAATGGACTAATACACGGGCATTATGTCCTTTTACTCCTAAATTCTTCAGTTAATATCATGTAATTCATAGACTTCGTTCAAAGTTTTAAATTCTCCTAATCATATACTTTATAGCAAAATAAAATACTTTTTTTTCTGGCTCAGGATTCAGTCCAGGATTGTGTGTTACATTTAATTGTTTTGACTTTCTAGTCTCCTCTAAACTAGAATAGTTCTGGAGTATTTTATAGTCTTTGTCTCTCATGAACTTGAAATTTTTGTAGAATGTCCCTCAATTTGGATTTGTTTGCTGTTTTCCCTGTGATTAGATTAAGATAATGTGCTTTGGGCAGAGAGGCCACCGCACAAGATGTGACTCCCTCATGCGCTGGGTCAGGAGGCACAGGACACCTATTTGCTGGGTAAGTGATGAGGTTAACTTTGATCATTTGGTTAAAGCTCAGCCTGTCGGGTTTCTCCACTATAAAGTTACAACTGGGTCTTCGTAATTAATAATAATCTTGTTGCAAGATACTTCACAACTAGGTCAACATCCTGTTTGTCATCAAACTTTCGCTCACCAATTTTAGCACCCACTGATAATTCTTCCCTCAATCCACTATAACCGTGATATTTGTCAAATGATAATTTCCTAATTTTATTATTCCTGTGACACTTATTAGTTGGCATTCCACTTCCTTTTCTCTTATTTTTTATTTTTATTTATATCAATGTGGACCCACAGATTCTGATTTTATTCAATAGATAATAATCTGTTAATGTGGTATTGATTTTTAAACAGTGACGGTAAAACATTGGGATCTGGAAGGCCGTACAGAAGCGTTGCCTGACTTTTGAAGAGTCCTGGGATACAGTTTCCTTAGAGATAACTGGGAAATGGAACTTGGGAGCTGTTGAGATGTTGTGAGACAAGTGAGATGTTGGTTTGGATTGTGGTCAGTGAAGGAAACTGAGCCCACGTGCCCAGCCTGCAGCTGTCCATACTAAGTGGAATTAGGAGATAACATCTCCTCCAGAAACCCAGTATTTGGACCTTCAAAAGGTTGCTGTACCTAATGGAAATCAGAAACCAGGAACTGGAGGGTATGCTGGCCAACCTAATGGCCATGAAGGTCAAGTCGGTAAAGGCTTCTCTAATTTTGGAACTAATTTGACCTTCATAAAAGGCAAGGTGAACAGTGAGCTAATCTGAATGAAATATGACCCAGGGTCAGGAGAGCCTTTTGAAGGAATTTCTACTGACATTCTAGATTCTAGGGCCCTCTCATCCTCTAGGCTTCCTTTCCCCTCTACTGACTTCCTCTTTCATCTGCCTCTTGCTCACCTCTTCCTTCTCATCATCAGCTTACTTTTATGACTTTTCTTTATTCATTGGCTTGTGCCTTATGCACTCAGGGGCATAGCAGTCTCCAGAAGGTTGGTCCTCATATCAGAGGATTTCGCTTACTGAACTCTCCTTAGAACTGGAAATACCTCTCTGTGCTCACCTGCAAGTTTTGCTTTGCAGAAACTGTGAAGGGTCTCGTATTGGTCAAAACTCTTTGGTTTCAAGAAAGAGAAATCAAATCAAGCTCATGTAAACACAAAAAGACATTTATTATCAACATAAAGAAGTGTTGGAATGAACCCAGGAGCAGAAATATCAAGAGATCTGGGAAGGGATTAAATCGTATCTGAAGAGTTGTCCAGACCCTCTGTGGTTTTGTCTTTGTACCTCTTGTGACATCAGTTTTATTATCATTTCTCTTCTCTGCAGATTGAGTTTCCCTGCATCCCTGGTCCACATGGTAGAATATGCCTACCCCTTTGGATCCAGAGTTTACAGGAGATGGTGTCATTGAAATTCAGGGAAAGAGAAATCTTTGTGCATTAGGCAAATAACCCCATAAATATCCCCTATGGTATTACCTCCAAATTTACTTAATTTATGTCTTAAATTTCACTATTGGTAAGTCACTATTTTGTGTTAGAAATCCTTTATCAAATCTATTTAAAAGAATTTTAAATGGGATTTAAAAGTAAATTGGTGGAAAAAAACAAAAAAATTAAAGCCTATGCATAATCTATCATCTAGTGATAGTACTGTAAATTTTCTAGTGTACATTCTTCTATCCTTAACTCTGTGTGTGTGTGTGTGTGTGTGTGTGTGTGTATGTGTATGTATGTGTGCATATTAGACACATGGGAATAATATACATATATTGTCTTATAACTTGCTTGTCTCACTTAATTATCAGTATGTTACCTTGACATTTGCATTTCTTCTGCAAAACAATTTTTTTTTTGAGATGGAGTCTCACTCTGTCGCCAGGCTGGAGTGCAGTGGTGCAATCTCCGCTCACTGCAACCTCTGCCTCCTGGGTTCAAGCGATTCTCCCGCCTCAGCCTTCCTAGTAGCTGGGACTACAGGTGTGTGCCACCACGCCCAACTAAGTTTTGTATTTTTAGTAGAAACGGGGTTTCACCATGTTGGCCAGGATGGTCTCCATCTCTTAACCTCATGATCCACCTGCCATGGCCTCCCAAAGTGCTGGGATTACAGGTGTGAGTCACCACACCCAGCCTGCAAAGTAATTTCTGATGGTATGACTGTGCCATAATTTAACCCATTCTCTGTGTATAAGATATTCTTTGGGTGTCCACTTAGCTCACAAGCTAACCAGAGAATTAATAGCCTTTGCTCCAAAGATATGATAACACTGTGGCTCGATTCTTCTGGTCAAAATATATTGGCCTGGAATGAACCCATAAACTAAGCTCAGCAAAGAAGATTATCCTTCCTAGGAAATGAAATTTGGAGCCTAGAGACTCCCAGTTTCTTGTGGAGTTATAAACCATTTTGGGGAGGTGTGGAACAGCCATATCCTCCCATGATAAAGAAGAAGCAGAACAGTTGGCTAAGATACGGATAATTGGAGAAGATTTTTAGAGAGAAGCAGGGACAAGAGACGGAAGGAAAGAAATTCCTTGGACTCCCTATAATTTTTCATTTTCCAGTTTCAGTCCTGTGTTGGGTTGAGTGTTGCCTCCCCAGAATTCATGTCCCCCTGGAACCTCAGACTGTGGCCTTATTTGAAAGAGAGTATTAACAGACGTAATTAGTTAAGGATCTTGAGATGAAATTGTTCTGAGTTTAAGGTGGGCCCTAAATCCAATGACTTGCGTTCTTATATGAAGAAGAACAGACACAATAGGTTATTTTCAGTTTGTGGCCATTATAAATTATACTACAGTGAACATTCAAGTGCATACATTTTAGTACACATTTCCAATTATTCCCTTAAGATAAGGTCCTAGAAAGCGAATTACTGAATCAATGGGTGGACTAATTTTTAAGACTTTTGTAGACCAAATTCTCCCCTACAAAGTAGTATAAAAGAGAATGCCTATTCTCCTCATCCTTGCCAACAACTACAAAATATCTTTCAGGGTTTTTTCCTTAACTTGAAATGCATGAAGTTATTCATGTAAATGAGTTGATCAGATCATTTTTTCTGCTCCATGGAACATTCTAGAAAATATTAGGCCCTGAGTTTGGGGACCACGCAGGACTTGCTACAAGGATTAAGGAAGTATACACATGGAGGAAGGTGAAGGCAAACATCCCTTATCTCAGTTGTGCCTACGGCCCTGCTGACCCTTCCACCTTGAGGATGTGGGTGTTCCCACATCTCTTCAATATATCACTGAAGGTGACCTTCAAACAGTGATTTGGAGGAAGAATCCCACGTGACCTTTTACATCTTATTATTATTATTTTTTTTTCTGGAGAGGTGGAAGTGATATTAGCGGTAAAATGATGGAAGAGCACCCGTATGTTCCTGCTTCTGAAGATTAGTGTGGCCTTTCTCGCCACTCCGTTAAGGACAAAGATGAAAGTGTGAGGCTGGAACAGCGGAGTATAGAGCTGATGGGTGATGTCACAGTCACCAGTGCTGGGGAGAGAGCGGGGACTTTTTAAAAAGAGTTGACAAAGGCTATAAAAGCATACAGGTTAGGGTGAAGGAAGAATAGGCATTATTTCAATACTAAGAAGAATTGAAAGCCAAAGATATTAGTCATCAAGCTCTTTCTGTACAGTTAAGTTAAATTAAAACTCACCCTCATAATCTGCCCAGGTTCTCTGACACACACACACACACAGTTATACACATAAATGGGCGGCACACAATTCTTCAGCCTCTGCCTGCAGAAACAAAATCAATATCGTGTTGTACATAAAACACCTATTTAATCTAAAATTACATTTTATAGTCCATTTACCCCAGCAGAGTAGCCCAAAGTCAGTCACTTCTTTCTGTTCATTTCTAAGCTGCGGCTCACTTTTCATTGTTCTCCCTGTCAGTGTTAAACTTGTGAAGGGGCTTTGAAATAGACAAGAAAAGCTCCAAGAGGGAAACTGCAGCTCGGAGACCCTGGGTGAAAAAGGCACGGTGCGCGCACACACACACACACACACACACACACACACACACACACACATACTCGCACACACGCCTCTAAGCGGGCATGTATTTCTTTAGCTTTTTTTTTGTTCTCCCAGTTCACTGTAGCATGAAGAAAAAAGAAAGAAAAAGAAATAAAAGCCTCAGAAGACAGTGTCCGTGTGTGTGTGTGTGTGTGTGTGTGTGCGCGCGTGCCCCTGTGGTTCTATGTGTTGGGCACATGGGTTATGATGTCAAAACCGCTGACACAGAATCAAAGTGAAGTCCGTAAAGTATATTCTCTTCCTTAGGGGCCTGGGTTTTACTTGCGTAATCTATCCCTCCGTCAGTCGATTCAGTCCTGGCACAGTGTATCAGAGTCTAATTCATTCTTTATGTAAGAAAGAGAAAATTTCAACAAAGCAGTACTTATGCTGAGCTAAAACAGGCCAAGCTAACACCTGTCATCAGAAGCATCGTGTATATAGTTCAGAAATTTTCACAAGATCGTGTTAATAGTTACTACCTATGGCAGTGGCAAACTCATTCCATAAATGCATGTGGATGAGAAATGTAGCTTTCTTTAGTTTCCTTGAACTCAATTTCTATTCTCAGCCTCCATCTGTACAGGTGACTGAATGTGTTCTTGGTCAGTTCAGGGTCCCGTCATCTCCCACGTGAATTCAGGGGTAATGATGTCCTCTACCAAGATGCCAGGCAGGATATGGGTCCCCACTGCTCTGTGTTCACATTGGCATCCACTGAGTGCCACTGCCTGGCCTCATCCTCAGAGATCCACGCACACAGATGGCTGCACCCTCCCCTGTGGCTCTAATGTTCTGTCCTCCTCCATTCACAGGATTGTCCTGCTGCTCCTATCCACCCTAGGTGTCCAGAACTCTAGGACACCCCAGCCACCTCTCTTCCTCTCCCAGGCACATGGGAATCTTTGGGTACACCCCTCTCTGACAAGCTCCACAAGGTCCCTTGTAGACCCCACACAGCCCTCTTCCCTCTGGAGTCCCCTTTCCCCACAAGGCTCTCCGTGAAAGGGAGGCTGAGAGTCCCTCTGCTCTCCTGTCCCTCAAGCCTGCCTGGGACCCAGTGCTCTCTTGGCAGATGCATATGCATATGCCTTTGCTTAGCGACTCATCTCTCTCCTCCGATTCGCTGCTTACCTCCAGTTCAGGGAATGTTCTCAGGTTTATAGAAGCTGGAGCAGATGATCACGTGGATTCTTTCAACTGCCCTTTTGTGCCCATCCCTTGGCCTCTGTGTACATTTGCTTTTAATGGCATGCACCTGTGACTCTCTTCTGAGCTCTACCCTTGGACATGCACACGCAGAGAGCCTGAAGTGTCTCGGAGTTTAGATCCAAATCTCCCGACTCCCAGGGTGATGTTTAGCCTAAGACTAATGGGTAAGGGAGTTTAAAAGCTCAGATCTCTTATCTCGGGTTGGCACACACTCTGAGGCATCATTTATACTCAGATGTCCTTGAGGGATGAGGCTGAAGTGAGGAATTGTACCCCCGCTTGGCTTCTCCCCTTTCTGTAGTACTAGGACACTGGTGTGCCATCCAGATTGGGCCTGAGGACTGAAGGACTTCTCCCTCAGCTACTGGGAGTGCTGCTGGAAGATGGCCCTCTGCTGGGCGCCCACATGGGAATTCCCACAACTGAAGAGAGTAACCTCCATCCAAAGCCATACCTGTCTCAGGGCAGCCTGCATCCAATGACTGGTCCATGCAGGAATATGAAGACCCAAATGTGTTGCCCCAGTTTGAGATGGCTCTGAAGGGTCACTCCAGCCTCAGATCTCTCCTCTGGTCAGCCAAAGGCTTTCTTGACATCACCCCAGAGCCCAACTTCTTCTCCTATCCAATGCTGCTAAAGTCCCTTCCTTTTCACAGGTGGAAATACTGAGTACATTCCCAAGAACTTCCTGCACATTAACAAGGAGCTTGGTGCAGTGGTTTGAAATGTGAGCACTGGAGACACACTGCTGGAATAGTGAGCCAATTCTGCTGCTCACCAGAGATGCTATGATGGGCAAAATACTCCATTTCTCTCTACCTCAGTTTTCTCATCTGTAAAATAGGGGTATTAAGAGTACCTATCTTACTGAGTTGTAGAGAAAAACAAACACACACACACACACACACACACACACACACACACACACATAAAAGCATGCTTTAAATGTTACGTATAACACAGAAAGTTCTCAGGAAATGCCAGCTATTTTATAATGCTTACAAGTTCTTTGCATTTTTTTCTCAGGGCAAGACTTGAAATTCAAAAGCCAGGAAAAAACTCCAGGCTTCCCCTAGGTCACTGCTTCCTGAGATAATGAATTTGGAACAGTCTAGCTTGAAAGAGGTGAACAGGTAAAAGGAAGAACAGGCAGGAGGAAAGGGGGGAAATTGGTTAATATTTTAAAATATTATCCTGCTGTGTGTACTTAGACCCTTTCATCTCAGAATAAGCTTACGCATGTAACACGGAAAAAATCATCTCATTATCTTAAGATTTTTTTTAATAGGAAATCACAATGTTTGGTCACCATCTTCAGATCCTTAAAGTGCTGTTTAGCCAAACTTCAAGCTATAAGTTTTCAATTAAACCTTTTCTATTCTGAACAGGATCATAGAGAAAAAGACATAATCAAATTAGTCAAAATAGTGTAGAAATAGCCTCATTTGGTGGGAGGGGAGGAGAAAGGTTAGTTCTCTGTTAACTTGACAATGAATTCTCCCCAAAACAAAGAACAATGTCGTTTCACATTGAAGGGCTATTTCGGACTCTGCAGATGTAAAAAATAAGGTCTTATTTTTAACAGGTGTGCACACGATGTTTAGCTCTTGACTTGCAAGAAACCTTTCCCCTCTGGTATAAAACAACAGCTTTAGGCATTGCCTGCTAATGAAAAAACAAGTGTAAAGGGCTCACCCCTTCTAACCTTCATAACTGAGAATCATCCAGTTCTAAAGCCAGCAACGTTGGGGGGACACCTTATTGACAAGAATGCCAGAAGTACAGCTTGGATTTGGAATAAATATTTCTAATCCCTCTCTGGGGGAAGTGAGCTTAGCACAATGAATCCGCAGGCCTGGGCTCTCCTGAGGTATTTTTCTCTTTCTCCCTGGCATGGATAAAATCTAAACTGTACTTAAGAAACGGTGTTAAATGTGTTAGTTGACTGAATCTGGCATTTATAATGCAATTTAGCAAAGTTTTATATTGACAGCATGACATTTTTAAAGGGCCCTTTCTGATTAACAAGGTTCAGAATCACTCCCTTGATTATGCTTGCAGAGTGAGTATAAAACGCTGCAGGCTCTGGAAGCAATGAATCGGGGCTCTGTTAGCATTAGACACATTTTGCTTTCTTAGTGACCATTCTGAGGGAGGATCAGGCTGGAACTGCATTTTTTAGGACAGAAGAAAATCTGCTTTCTCACTTCGGGGGACCTTTTTTGTGAGAAAAAGGCCTCTGCAGTCCGAGGAGAGGCCGTAGATTCCAAGCCCAGGCCGAGTAACTTGTCCTTCTGGAGGTCCCAATGTTACTTACCATTTTCTTAAAGCAAGTCTAAGAAATCCAGCTTGGGGCAGACGGAAGAGGGGCAGAAATTTCTCTCTCCAAAGAGCAAATTGACAGTTTTAAATTGATCTTAGCTCCATTATTTTCAATGAGTCTATTAAACTAAATATTTCCTGAATATCCCATAAAGAATCAACGATCTCATTTGGAGGTCACAAAGGAAAGATGGGAGAAGTGTCAGGCATCTTTTTACAAATGGAGCAAGGGCAACACAGAGCATCATAAATGGTTCCAGCTGGTTCACAGTGGACTCAGACCTGTGTCCGATCTCCTGCAAATGATGATCGTAGCAACCATCTATTGAGCTTCCAGACATGTGCCAGACACTCTCAGTGTGCCACCTACAGTGATTTTCAGTGTATATTATATGTGCGGTAAGCTATTCATAACAAATTTACCATTTTAGCCATTTTTTCAATTACAATTCAGTGGCATTAATTACATTCACATTGCTATGCAACCATCACCACCATCCATCTCCAGAACTTTTTCATTATTCTAAACTGAAACTCTGTGCCTATTAAACTATAACTGTCTCTTCTCCATGCTCAGTCCCCGGTACTCACCATCCTACTTTCTGTCTCTATGAATTTGACTATTCTAGGCACCTTATGTAAGTGGAATCATACAATATTCGTCCTTTTGACTGGCTTATTCTACTGAGCATAGTTCTTCATTCACCCATATTGCAGCACATGTCAGAATTTGAATCATATTTCATTGTATGTACGGACCACACATTTTGTTCATCCTTCATCTGTCAGTGGCCAGTGGCCACTTGGGTTGCTTCTACCTTTTGGCTGTTGTGCATGATGCTACCATGAATATGAATATACAAATGTGTGTACATGGGTGTATGTGAGTGGACAAACCTAGCTTATCTCTGATTTCTGTGATAACCCTGGAGCAGAGGTTTCCAGGTAAGGAAACTAGCACTCAGAGAAATGACCTGCCTAAGACCATACTCCTGGATAAGTGGTGATTCTGGGATGTGAAGCCATGTCTATCAGCCATACTCCCTACCTCTGTCCCTTAGTTCAGTGCAATCCATGTGCTCTGTCCATTCAGCGTTCGTACTTCTGTAGATAGCAAGTATTCTTTGGGACAATCTCTTTTTCATCATCAGTTGTGATGTTTTCTATTGATGGATTAAATCAGAAACTCACAAGAATCCAATAACAAATGCCCAGAGACTTCCGAGATGTTGAATGCCCCTTCCTCAGCATGCAGGGAAAAGTTAAGGAAGCTGGGAACTTAGGAGATAGGTCCCAAGCATGCCTGTACACTGGGATCCACCTTGAAGGAGGAGGGAAAGAGGTTTCACTCTCAAAGCATGTGTCAATCTGGGATCAGAGGGGAGAGACCAGACCCAAGTGGGTGCACAGGTGTCTAATTCTCACCCCCTGCATTGCAGGCCACCAGGGGCTTAGGGAAAGGGATATTTAGACCAGTCCAAATAAAAAAACTTGATGTTCCTGATACTTAAAATTACATTTCCACCTCTCTGGGCCTTGGACTCCTTACAGATGTTTCAGGAATACTATTTTGAACCCAAAGGGAGAGTTTAGTGTGTCTGATCACTTGTGAGCAAATCCAAAATAATTCTATTTGCAGAATCTTACTTGCACAGGTTTTGCTTTGAACTAAGGGGAGAGAAGGAACAGGGGATACAGCACTCAAGTGAGGGTATAAGTGGGTGCACAACTGTGTCAGTGTGGCCGTGAGTTGGTAGAGGTTAGTTGTGTAACACCACAGGGCACACACCCTGCAGTCCATGTCCCCAGTAGAAGGCAAGGGAGGGAGCTCCCCACTGGCATCCTAAGCCCCCAGACCTCAGGGAGCATTGGGTGATGTGGCATTCTCCAGGGAACAGGGGGCAGTGGAGGTGGGGAGAAATCTTCAGGCAACTTAGGGAGCAGAGGCTGTCACCACCTAGGAGCAACTAGAGAGGAAGACAATGACAGGTGCTAGTGACAAACCGCTACAGATGGGGGCCGTCCAGACCTAACAGGGTGAGACCTTGACAGCGATCCTACCTGCGTGGGAGGGGCAACAGCTGAGACATCAGGCTATTGTGCTGTTTCTCTGGACCACTCTATCTCCACAGCCTGATGCTTTTAGAAATCAGATGGTACCTCCCACCCCTAACATCCTATGACTTGAAGCAGCAATATTAGCAACGTTCCACAGAGTCCAAGAAAGACTTGAGGAACCCACCTGGGGGGCAGAGGATCAGTCAGCACACACACTGCAAACACCATGACAATGTCAGTTCCTTGAAAACAAGTTGTACAACATGTTGTTTCTGATGAGCCTGGGACCCACAGCTCCGTGCTGCTGATTCCAGCACTAATGTGAGACTACTGGGCCCAGGCACAGCATCTGAGCTCTGCGTCCCCCTCCCCCCAACACCGTGGTCCTGATGCATGCCATCCAATCCCCCGGGCACACTGCAGCACTCCGTGTCAAAGCAGTGCCTGGCAGCATGTCACAATTAAAGGACCTATCAGCATTTCCATTCTAAATACCCCCTTTGGAAGGATTTATTATTTGTCCATTAAAATAAATTGAAGGCTTGCTGGAACACAGAGCCTCAGCATGTAAGCAATTTGTTGGAAGGGCTTTATTTTCGGGGGTGTGTGTGTGTGTGTGTGTGTGAATGTGAGACTAGATTCAAACCCAATTTATTTGTAAGCTAACAGAAAACACCAAAGGAACACTTCACAATCAGTATTTTTTTTTTCTAGAAACAATAGCAAAGGACAGTCAAGGAGTGTAAATGTAACCTGGAAAGGAGCTGTCAGGCATCTTTCCTCTTCCTAAATATCAAAGCCAAGCTCTGTTTGTGGCTCAGCCCCAGTGGATTGATCTATCGACTATCTAAATGACAGAGCTGCAGACAGATGGCGCCTGTCCCAGGCAGTTTCTCCTGGTGGTTTCCTGTGATGGGCTGACATCCCCCAGTTCTGGGGAACGGGCAGCACCCTAACAGTAAAGCCACTGTTAGCAGAAACTTCTCCAACAGAAACTCCTGCCAGCCATCACCCCTTCCTCTTCTGTGCTTATTATTGGGGGAGGAGAGCCCTAGGCCCAAATCATAAATCACCTCCAACACCAGAGTACACACTCTTAATGTTTGTGTTTCCAAGTGACTTTGGGGGCGGGGGAGGTTTGGGCTGGCCGCTTTTGTTTGTTTTAGAGACTGAAATGTGATTTTACTAATGCAGTGCTGGAAGAGGCTTTTGCTAGGAATTTTCAAAGATTCTTGTCAGTACATTTCTTAACCTAAGTTGGCAGGACCAAGAGCTGAGATGAAAAGGAAAGAAATCTCAGCAGAAAAAAAAAGCCAGAGGTTTACCCAGAGATGGCTTGGTGAGGTAATGAGAGCCACCACATCACTCTCGCTGCTAGCAGGTGCCAGGTCCTGTTCTAGGAGCTACCAATGTATGGACACAAGCAATCCTAACGAAAGTCTTGTGAGGCAGGAACTGCTGCTACCCGGACTGCAGAGGATGCTGAGGCCCTTGGAGAGTGGCTTGCCCAAGGACACACGCAGGGAGCATGGCGTGGAGGAAAGGATTGGGCCAGGCACTGAAGCTGCACCCACACAGCCAGCAAGCCCGGCCTGCTCTCCTTTCACTGCAGCATATGTGCCCCAAGAAAGGGCATCCTGGGTGAATTTGAAGGAAAGGATAGTCTGAGCCTTTATTTTTCACCTTGAAGATAGGTTTGTCTTCTTACTTGGGCACTGAAAGGAAGTGTGTGTGTGCATGTGTCTGTGTGTGTGTGCGTGTGTGTTTGTGTGTGTTTATTGGTATGTGTGAGGGTGTGCCCATGTGATGGCACAAGGCTATGCGTTGTATGCCTGCTCTTTATGCTTGATGCCATGGCTGTAAGAACCGAAGAGAAAGGACTTTAGGGAGAAGGCATCTGGTCCAGAAGCACGAGGTGACCGTCCACAGCCCACCTCACACACAGCCCCTGTTGGTAGCACAGTGGGGCCTGCAACGCAGGCCTCCTGCTCAGTCCAGAGCTCTTCTGACTACAGAGGGTCCTTTGACAAAAGGAAAGGTGGGGGTAGAGTTTGCTCCAGGTGTCAGAAAAGACCAAATGAGACCAGTCCAGGAGGGAATTCATGTTAGCCGGACAGTCTCTGGTGCTAGGGCTTTCCACGGTCTTCCAGTAAATTCTAATCCTCGTGTAGGAAACACACTTGTTACTCTTGGCAGAGGGAAGGAACATAAAGGGAGTGTCACGCTTCACAGACTGGAGCGCCCCATCATTACACAGGATGGACCACCCACCCTTCTGGATAGATCCTTGTTCCTCACTTACAACCCTGCTTGTTTTTAAGGGGCCTAATTAGCAGAAAATGTCGTTGACAAATATTGCATAGGCAGTGCCCCAGGGGTGCTTGGAAGTCCCAGTCTTCCCAGCTCTTTGAAGTCCAAGAATGAATGTTGCTTGTCATCTGCCTTCCCACCCCCACCACAGGGATTACTGAGAATCCCTGGAAAGGGGACAGAGAACCTTCTCAGCTTCAGCACCCAGGATCTCTAGTAATGAATAGTGCTAGATCCCCTCTCTCAGATACTGCTGGTTTGGGTACTTTTTTCTCTCTCTCTTTCTTTCTCTTCTTCCTTTCTTCTTTCCCTTTCTTTTTCTTTCTCTTTTTCTTTCTTTCCTTTCTTTCTTTCTCCTTCCTTCCTTCCTTCCATCCTTCCCTTCCTTCCTTCTTTCTTAGATCTCACTTTATAGTCCAGGCTGGAGTGAAATGGTGTGATCATGGATCACTGCTACTTTGAACTCTGGGACTCAGGTGATCCTCCCACCCCAGCCACACAAGTAGCTAGGACCACCATACTAGGCTAATTTTTATTTATTTATTCATTTTTGTAGAGATAGGATCTCACTATGTCACCCAGGTGCTCTCAGACTCCTGAGCTCAAGCAATCCTCCCACCTCGACCTCCCAAAATGGTGGGATTATAGACGTGAGCCACCGTGCATGGCCTGTTTGGGTAAAGTTTAAAATGTTAGCAGTATATATGTTCCCCTAGCTAATTATTGTAGTTATTCTTGCACATCTGCCGCTGTTCTTCTTAACCTCCTTTGTCTGGATGATGGAAAATTTTCCTTACCACTTTAGAGGCCACTAGCACCCCACACAATTTTTCAAAAGCATAAAAGGGACCTTCTCTTCTGCAGATTTCACCACTCTGGTTTTTCTTTGCTTCTCATTGACAGTCTAGTCATCCGTGTCCCTCTGAGGGGAGCCACCTCTTCCTGCCCAAGACTTCCTGCTTGCATCCTGAGGGAGCACGGTGGAGAAGGACAGGGGGGCTACTGACTTTCTTCCTCTGAGTGCCCCCCGCCTAGGTGAGGGGTGTTAGCAGGCACCTCAGCGGTGGCAGGGGATGGGCCAGGGTCTGAAACCCAGCTCAGTGACTAAAATCTATGTGGACAGGTTACTTAACTAGTCGTTCCTCAGTTTCCTCATGTATAAAATTGGAAAAACAGTTCCCACTTCATTAGGCCTGCTGTGATGATTAAATGAGATGACATAAATAACTTGTGCGGCAACTAATAGGTCCTCAGGAAATGTCAGTTCTCTTAGTAACTGTTATGGACTAAGTGTTTGTCCATATGGACCAAATGTTTGCAAATGGGAACTGAGGAGCCCTCACCAGACACCAGATCTGTCAGCACCTAGATCTTGGACTTCCCAGCCTCTAGAACTGTGTGAAATATATGTTTATTGTTTAAGCCACCCAGTCTATGGTATCCATTATAGCAGTCCAAGCAGGCCAAGGTAGTCACCTAGAGCTGGCAGGACTGAATTCAGGGTTTGGGATGCCAGTTATTTCTCTTCCCATCTTAGGCACAACAAACAGCTTTCCCTGTCCAAAGAGGATACTGAGGGCCAGTTGCTGTCATCATTTCCTACTTCCCTCAATTTGCAAAAACTACCAACTTCTTTCTTTTTTGTATTCAAAGTGCTAAGTTGCTGGATATTTTGCAGGTAGAGAGACATCAGACCACCATGAGCCCTCTAGAGAGCATGTTAACACAAGCAGCCCTGCAGGTGAGGGCTTTGAGCAAGCATGTAATGAGCATTCTAGGATTCCTCCCTAGATCATACACTTCCAGAGAGAGGCCTAAAATACAGACTTCCAGAGGACAGAGGTCTTTGCCTATTCAGTTCGCTGATTTATATATATATATATATATATATATATATATATATATATATATATATATCTCCTAGAAAAGTGCCCGGCAGATGGCAGGCCCTGAAAAAATATGTGTTGAATAAATACATATTTGCTGACTGAATGAATGCTTCTGGGGCAAAATGGCTCCAAAACCAGCCAGCCTCAGGCCGCCTGACCACCTTCTCTACCACTTACTCACTGTGGGGCTTCTTAAAAGTCACTTATCCTTCCTCTACTCTATTTCCTTTTCCCTAAAGAAGAGAGAATCCCACCAACTATGGGGATAGTCTTATGGATTAGGGGCTGTACCTGCAAAGCATGTGACGTGAAGAAGAAATCAGAGTGACTTGGCAGCCTTAGATACTGTGCTGAGGATCTGGAGTCGGGAGGATCTGGCCCACTCTCTGAGGAAAGAACTGTCATCTGATGCTGGTGACCTCAAAAGTGTAAAGTGTTGCTACAACCTTCAACCTCTTAGGGCAGAGAAGGAAGACTATGGATTCACAATTCTTGGCCCCAGCTGTAGTTTCTCAAGAAAGCTCATGCAATGAGCTCATGATCAGGTGCTTTTAATGAGACCTCCCGATCCTCCTAGGTGGTTTCCCTTGTGACAAATGATCCTGTCTGGCAAGACCCTATCTTTGTCATTGTGGACTTGTGCTCACAACCAGTTACCTAGGCATCCCATGCCTTCTCACTTCCTCCTCCCTCTCTCTCTCTCTCTTTCCAGGTTCAGTGATTCAAGGCCTAAACTACCAAGATGCATCTTACTTATCCTCAGTGGGGATTGCTGCACTAAGTTATAGATTCTGAATTTGTGAAGCAATTTGGTCAAGTTTATACTTTCTATTTTTGGCTAGGAGTGGGAGGGGCAACTGTATGCCAATAGGCTATCTCAATTCTAGAAACATCCCCTCTTGCAAGATGAAATTATCCCCACTATATCAACATTCACAGCCTGTTTGCACTGGTATGGCTTTGATAGAACTTGTATCAGTATAAATATTACTTTAGCTTTTAACTGCTAATTATATCAACATAAACTTAATTTATAGTGATAATCACCGTCATAATGTGCTGCTGCCAAACATCCCCACTGATGCTTTGAGGCATCGTGTAAACTCAGCCATTAGCAATCATGTAAATGTTCCCATTACTCATTATGATACTGGCTAAAGAACTTCTCTAATTGACTTCTTCCCAAAGTCCATAATAAGCAAGAACAACAGAAGACCAGAGAGTGTTGATCAATTTATGACAACCATCTTGTTTCTTACAATAGCCCATGCTGATAAATATAAAGTTGCAAAAGAGGACCTCAGAATAGCATGAACAGATTCTCAATTCCACATTTAGTTTCGGTCACGTCAATCGAATCACAACACTATCACTCAGACAAATGCCAAGTAACACTTAGTTTGTATAGCGTGCCACTTCCATCTCCCTATGTCAGCATGAAAAAAAAAGGGGTGTTTGCATCTTGTAAATTCATATTGCTTTTTAATTCAAGAGATTCAAAGTGCTTTACTTTTTTCAATTATTGCTCCTTTTTCTGCGGTAGTTTAGCGGATATTTGTTGTTTATACCACTCACTCTCCACTCTCCCATCTAGAGGCAGCAGTGCCCTAATATTATTGGGCGTATATCCACCAACTCTTAGTCTATATTGTTTTCATTCAGCCAACTCCATCCCCCAGGCTTGAGAGTGAAGCATGTAATCTAAGATAATCCAATCACCACACTCTACCTGCCGCCTGTCCACAGTGATTTGTTCATGAGTGTGCATGTGACCCAAAGTCTGGCCCATCAAGGTTAATGAGATTCAAGTCTAGGAATCACAAATTTCTGTTTCTCCATTGGGTATGAGGCTCAGAGAAAGGCACTATGGGGCTGCAGTCCCAACCCTGATGAGGAGAGTAGAGCTAAACCCAGGGTAGTAGAGAAACAAGCCATCATGATATCTAAGCTTCTAAATCACAGTGCATCTGAAACCAGCCCCTTTCCTGGACTTTTCAATTATATGTGTGTCAAAAATCCCATTTTACTTAACCCAGTTGTGCTGTTTACTGTCACTCACAACCAAAATAATCCTAATTGATACAGGCAACCAGCAGACTTTGGGTATGATTACGTCTGTTTCTAAGATAAAGAAATGTGAGCAAAAAGAAATGATCTCCAGTCAGTAAAAGAGCTGTGTGAATTAAATACAGAGGCTGAAGATACCAAATATTCTAAAACTAAAGTGCCCTATAAATACATGAGTTTTAATAAAACTTAAAACTCAAAAGCCAGAGTTTCTGATCACATCCAGTCTCAAATATTTCTGATTCTTCAATTGATTCAGCGCCAGAGAAACCAAATCTCCCAGTAGGCCAACAGAAGCTTCAGGAAAGTAGCAGGGAATTCAGGGTGAGGCGAAAAGGGGAGGTATAGGGAGTCTATGAAATGACCAATTTCAAATTCAGAAAAGCTGGCAAGAGTCTAAAGTAAAATCTAAGAAGCTAGATCTGTAAGAATCTCTGATACTTGTGAAATCTAGTTTACTGTGCACAGCTGAGTAAGTAAGTGTGAGGAAAATCAAATCCTGGGGGCTTGGAAAATGCCATTTTTCTTCTCTGCACCCATAGTCCCAGCACCCCACCTGCTGCTCTCTGCAGTGCTGGAGCATGTCATCTGTCATGGTCCCCCAGGTTAGCACTTTGAATGCAGTCAAAACAATAGGGACCATGCCCTCATCTGCTATGGGCGGGCTGGTTTCTGCAATTAAGCTAAAGTTCAGGTTTTGGCTAATAACAGGCAAGGAATGTGACAGGGAAGGGAATGCTTACTCATTAACTCATGCTAATGGGTGCTAGAACCAACCAACCACCAGCCCACTAGCGTGAGAGTGAGGCACGCTGTGTCACTCTGATCGTGGAGTGTTTGCAGGTTTATTTCACAACATTACTGGAGTCTGGCAGTTATCTAATCAGGAGCGGTTTTAAGGGAAAAGAAAAGGATAATTTTGTTTTAAGTGCCAGTCTTAGGTCTCAATATTTTATGAAATAGTCATTAATTTTCAATACAAGGCTGATGGTGATATGATGAGGACTGCATGTTTATGCAGAAAACGTTCCTTGGCTATCTCTAAGAGTTTGGTGAATGTAGGGGAAACAATTATCTCTTATTTTTGTAAGGCAAATGGTAATTATCACACCAGTCTCAGCTCTCTGAGAAGATAGGTCACTGCAAAGAAAGGGGCGGACTGACAGTGGGTGTAACACTGGGTAACATGGGAAGTGGGAGAATGAAGCTATTTTACTTGTGGCAGAAACCATAGAATCCATTCATTTAATCAATCATTCCCTCAACACAAATGTATTGAGTATCTACTAAGTCCCAGGCACACCACTAGGTGCTGTGCCATTCAATACTAAATGATGCAGAGGCTGTTCCTGCCCTCTGGGAGTTGACATTCTTTTGGCCACAAGGACTTAGGTCTCAGGAGACCCAATTAAGTCTTTTGTATGCAGGAAAAATTTTAAAGCAGCAATTTCTGCCACCCAAGTCTGACTACTTCTCACACTTGGGTCACCCAATTTTAGGCACTGGTGACCTAGAAAATCACTGACTTTCATGTAAACATTATGTTCGAGTATTGGGGATCTTAGGGATTAACCTACAGGCATCAATGCAGACTTTGTTCTTTTTAGGTCAGTTGGATAAAGCAGGCATGTGGCCCCTGATCCTCTTTGTCCCAGTTAAACTATGAATCTCTATCTCAGCGTCACAGACAGTACTTAGTCCCGGCCCCAGTTAGCTGCCTTGCACGTCCACAGTTCAGAACACATAAAGGCAGGGCGTGGATAAGACTATATTTGTCATGACTATAGGATAAACAGCTTAAAACACATATTGGAGACATAATGGGTCATTTTTCAAAACTGATAATGTCTTCGAAAACCCACTGAACAGTGTTAAGGACTAAGCAAATCTACAGCACAATCAGGGTCACCTGTTGTGGGGGTCATTTTGTTGGACTCTATATTACAACAGCTACAGACGTGTTTCTAAATTGAGGCTTCCATTTTCACTATTAATAACATGAGGGCAAGTCCCAACCTCCCTCCAGAGTACCAGCTATTCAAAATTAATTTATTAAAAATGCATTCTAGTCATTAGCGCTAAGCAGATTTATGAAAAGCAGATTGACTAGGATACAAAGATGTGCAAGCCCTTAAGTTTCGATCTGTGCCATGTTTGCTATCATTTATCTAGAATTCTGGTCATGTGTGTCAATATTTGCAGACTACCACTTTGCAGGTTATTTATTTCCCCTGGTCCATTTCTCATGGTGACACGGCTTTCCAGCATTGTGTGACAGGTGGTAGTTGACACCAATTTATATTAACTTCAGTTTATGCTGAAAATATTACACTAAAGGGAAGACGGTGTTCAGATTATGGTCTGAGCATATGTCAAATGCTAGGAAGAGTCTTAAAATTTCTCCTCATTTTAAAATGGTGAGCAATTTGGCTTTAATTTTTTGACTGGCATTTTTACTATTCTTTTGGTAGGTTGTCAGTGGATTTAGTGACAGCTGGTAACACCAGCTACAAAATATATTTTTCAAAGAAAATATTTAATAAGAACTCAGGTAAGCTCTTGTGTAGCGTTTCTATATTAACTATTTCATCAATGGAGGAATGGATTATGCAGTGCAAAAGCAGATTTTAAAAAAAATCAAAGATCTTTTTGTTTTTAAATAGTAACCATAAAAAGAGTTCATTTAGGGGCCAGCTGTCTATGCTGGAATTCTGCTTTCCTTGAAATTGTATTACTTTTCAAAGCGTAAGCAAGTTTATAATTTTAGAAAGAAAATTATTTGTATCCATTTATCATTGAATTTTAGAGCCAAAAATGACCAGAGTGACCCTGTGGTCTCTTTAACTATTGAGCATACTGAAGTAAGGAGGTAAGTGGGTGGCTCCTGGGCGCACGGCTGTAGCAATACAACCTGTGTTGGAACTCAGCTCTTTCCATGCCATCACAGACTATTAGCTCTCTGCTTATCATTCTGTGTGCATCTACACTTTCTATTATTTTATCTTACTGCTTATCAGTGGGAAGGAGCAGAATGCAGAATTTTTGAGTTGGAAAAGATCCATTTACTGATATACATTGCATAAGTATTTATTTGGCTAGCCTCTACTATGTGCCAGGCATTATGTTAGTTATTATGGAAACTAACATAAATCATTTCCCTCACTAAAGATTTTATAATTTGGGGTGTGAAAATGCACACGTGTGTGTGTGTAGGTGTGTGTGTTGGTGCAGGGATGGACATGGGGGTTGAGAGAGACAACTGCCAAGGGAGAAAAGCAATTCAGGAAGTGCACTGAAGTGTTATAGGGGATATAATACCAAGTCTGTCCTAGGGAAGGAGGGTGCCCAGGAGAAGGTGGGCTTCAGGCTTCAGAATCAGCCAGAGAGTTTTAGTTCTTAAATCAAAATACACCTTCCAGAGCATATCCCAGAACGATGACATTAGAATTTCCAGAGCAGGTGGAGAACAAATTTACATTTAATAAATGCTTCCACATCGTTCTGCTTTTCAGCCAAGCTTGCCACCCCCTGTCTACTCTACCCAGGGCTAAGGTGGCTGCTGGTCAGGAAGGATTTATAAGAGCAGATGTCTCTTGCATGAAAATCTGGAAGCTAAAGAAAGCATTTCCAGGCAGTCAGAGATGACCTTTGTATTAAGTCATTCTCACATTGCTATAAAGAAATACCTGATACTGGGTAATTTATAAAGAAAAGAGGCTTAATTGGCTCACAGTTCTGCAAGCTGTACAGGAAGCATAGGGGCAACTGCTTCTGGGGAGACTTCAAGAAGCTCCCAATCATGGCAGAAGATGAAGGCGGAGCAGGTGTCTTATGATGAAAGCAGGAGCCAGAGAAAGAGGGTGGAGGTACCACACACGTTTAAAAGATCAGATCTCGTGAGAACTCACTGACTATTGTGAGGACAGTACCGAGGAGATGGTGCTAAACCATTCATGAGAAATCTGCCCCCATGATCCAGTCACCTCCCACCGGGCCCCAACTCTAACACTGAGGATTACATTTCAACATGAGATTTGGGTGGGGACACAGATCCCAACCATATCAACATTAGACCTAGTTAAGTCCAGAGTTCCTCGCCCAGTCATTGTCCCCACCAGGCCATCTCTGACAATCCCTGGCAGAACAAAAGCTAATGGGTGACTGTACACAACATCCTAGCTGAATGTTTCTCTCTGATCGGGAACCTGAGTAGTCAGCAGACAAAATCACCTGAGGAGAGCTCATAGGACCAAGGTGCGGGGGTGGGGGAAATCTCTTCCTAAAATATTGAAGACCTCACTGGTATTAAAAATAGGTCTCCATGGAACCTGCAGCAATTCCTAAACAGTTGTCTGCGTTCCATTGCAAAGTAATGGCAAAATGAGAAAATAAAGGATGACAAGGTGAATTTTCCCTAAAGTTTAACTGATTTAGTTTTTAAAACTCTGAGTAAAAGGATCCTTATTGTTTAGAAGAATGCAAAATGATAGTTAATAACATTTTTATGTCCTTTATTTGGAAAAATTAAAAGCTATCAACCGTATGTCAGTCTCTGAAATTTAAAAAAAAAGATTTTACTGGTCTTTGAAACCCAGATGTCTGGGGACAGCCAGTCCAGAACTTCTAAACAGAACTCTTTTTTCTCTCCACTCTTATCTTGTCACTCTTTGTCCTCACATACACTAAAATCCCACTGCAGATAACCCCTCAACCTTTATAAATTGCTTCTTTTTTTGTACTATCTTAACAAACTTTGATTTCTTTTCGATTTATCTTATTCACCATTACTATACTTGCTGAAATCAATCCGAATGCAAGCACAGTAGAAACGACTTATTTAAACTTTCATTAGATCATGACCACTTATTTGAACCCCCAAAATTGCTAGACAGAATTTCAGAGATATTAACATTTTTTCTCCACAACGAAAGTAGAAAGGTGATTATTCCTTCTCCCCAAACCAGTTTCCCCAGGAGAGCTTTCTTTTTTGCAATCATAATATTTGATGTCATCCACTGCTCCGGAATCTTATATCAGTGAGTAGAAGTACTTGTTTCCCTCGTGGTTAGGGGCTCAATTTATGTGGATATGAATAAGATTTATGGTGTGTAATAAACATTACTAAAACGTGACAAAAGAGTGAAGATTTAAAGACACTTACTAATTTAAGATGACATTTTAAACATTCACAGTCTTTAGAGCAATACATATTTCAGGTCTTTATACAGGTTTCCAGGCAGAATGCCTATTAGGAAATGAAAATCAGCTGTGTACTTTCTCGCTCTTCGCACAACTCCCCACCCCCATTTATTGCTACCCAGTAGCGACCCTATCCATCAGTGTTTAGTGTTTCCTTTTTGCTCAGCACCTAGATGTTAAACAAATTAGAATCTTAATATATGAGGTGTGACCATGAGGTCTAAAAGGAAATAGAGAAGAAAAAACATATGAAAAAAAAAAAAGACTGGCCACAACTTCGTTATGGATGCCTGGCTAGACCTCTAAGTTTTCAAGGACTGAAATTGACTTAGTGCCAGTCTTCTGGAAAATGCTGCCCAAGCTATTTTTCCTCTTACATAGGAAATTATACAAGTAAATCTACCAAGAAAACATGCCATGGAAAGTTGATTCTTGGCCAATTTTCACACATCTGGTTCGCTGGGCAGTCTTTGCTCATCAGCTAATAAGGACTTAGGTGAACCCAGCTTAGTCCAGGCTGGCCCCCCATTCCGCGTTTGATCTCACCTGGAAGGCGCCCTCAGCTCTGGCGTGGCACTCTTCATTCAGGGCCTCTTTTATTTCCAACACAAAATGGTCTCTTGTTGTTAAATGGTTTCTAATTTTTCTAATAGGAGACAGTAGAGTTTCTTGCTGGTTTTCAGTAAGTGTGCTTTATTTTGCCTCCCTAATTTGTTCCCAGTTGAATCTGATTGCATTTACTTGGGCAAAAAGGAGGGGCTGTGGTAACCCTGAAAGCCATGTGCTTGAAGTAGCCCTAATGATCTCATGGGGTGTTGTGTGTAATGCAAACCCCAGGTCTCCTCCACTCTGAGTAGATGCCAGTCTCGGTGACTGACATGTACTTAAGCACTCAGGGCTGTTTTTCAGTGTGTGATTTACTCTCTCCCCTTTAATTACCCTGGAGATAGCAAGCCGTGAATACTTGAGGCTTGGCTTTCAGGGTACAGAGTATTCCCTGGCACAGGTCACAGATAGCACCTTGTCCCTTTGGGGCCTGAGCTAATTCAGGGAGGAACCCCATTACAGGTTCCAGGGTGGACTTATCTCTGCATGTCTAGGAATTTCAAAAATATATATCCAGGAGAGGAGTCTCTATGGTGAATTATGGTCAGCCACAGAAGAGAATTTAACTCATTCTGAGAAGCCCATAATGTTCAACAACCCATATTATAGAGAGCTATTTTTCTCTCTTCTCACACAGCAGCACCCCATGCCCTGCACATGGAGGGCTTAATAAGGATGGTTCATCTTCTTCCATGGGTAGCATTCACCCTAGGGGCTACCCACGTTCCTGCCACGCCTTTATGAGTAAAATGAGAGTTAAGTCTTGACATCATTTCTAGTTCCTGTCATCAACCTGGGCACTGTTCAAACTTGGAAGAACAAGAAATGAGTCAGGGCAACACGGGTTGCAAGGACGGTTTCTTACAGCTGAGGGCTTTTGCATGGCCCTTCCCTTGAATGTTAGTGAGCGAGCCTATTTCCTCTCACCTTTCTGGATGCTGCACCTTACCTACCACTGTGTGGATACATGCCTTCAGTGAGTTTTCTACTGGTGAGGGAGTTGTGGCTTGTCAGGCCTGCCTTCTTCCCAGCACAGAGAGATGCTCGGGCCTTCCCAGTCCATCCTGGCCTCATTCTCCCATCTGAGCTAACCGTGCCACTGGGAGGGCCTTTTCCTTAAAAAATGGTAATTTTCTTCTATCATGGGCCATTCTATGCTATCACCTAGTATATATCTACCATGAATCTAATATGTATTGGTTACAAATAAAGCAAATGACTTCTTTGAAGAAAATGTCAACAGTTAAAGATACTTAAGGCTAGGCTAACTCCTTACCATTGTCTCAGACAATCACCCTTCCTCACTCTTCCATGCCTTGGTACTTTTACCAGTACCTGGAGGCTGCGGAGAGGTATGGTTTAAGGGCTCAGACTTTAGTATCAGAAAGCAAGCGGTGTGACCTCAAATAAATTACTTAGTATCTCTGGATCCATAAAATGAGGGTGTTATGGCCAAACAGTTGCTAAAGTCCTTAGGGCACTAAAAGTCTGTGATTCCACACTAACAATGTTTTGCAGGCAAGTCTGGATGTGCAGTTTGGGAAATTTGCCTCTGTTTTTCACACTATGCTCATCTTTACTCAATGTCTTGTAGTTAGGCACATTGACTGTTTTTCTCTTCCATTCATTCATAAGGTTGACTGGCTCCACTTGCTTTTCTCTCAAAGCAAATGAAGCTATTCAGGCTTGTGCTTAAGTGGAGGTGCAAAAGCTAGATTTTCAAAGCAAACATAATAAGGACTATCCAGAAGGAATTGTAAAAATCAACTCAGATTAATAGACGTAATGTGACTAAGCTAGCTGGGCCACTGTGAAAATTTTGTAGGAACCAGGGCCCCCAAAGTGTAGGCAGAACCAGCACTAACACTTAGTGAACCCAGCACATACAGGGTAAGGTCCCCATGTCGAACTGCTGCCTGAAAAGGTTACCCCTCCCAAGCAGGTAGGAGTGAAATTACATCATATTAAACAAGCAAACAAAAACACCAATGTGGAGGGAAAAGATAAATGAAATAAAACTGGTATAATAATAATTGATGACACTGGGCAGCAGATGATGGGTAGATGGAGTCATTATTCTCTTTCCTTTACTTATGTGCATATTTAAAATTTTTCAATATAGAACATTAAAAAGGGATCACAGATTTAAATGTAAAATGTATAAAACTTTTAGGAGACGGTATAGGAGAAAATCTAGATGACCTTGGGCTTAGACATGACTTTTTATGTAATGACACCAAAGGCACAAGGAAAGAAATAATAAACTTAACATTATTCAAATTAAAAATTTCTGCTCTGCAAAAGATATTGTCAAGAGAATGAAAAGACAAGCTACAGACTGGGGGCAAATATTTGCAAAAGACATATCTGATAAAAGACTGTTATCCAAAATATACATAAGAATGCTTTGAACTCAACAGTAAGAACACAAACAATCAAATTTTTTAAATGGACCAAAGTCCTTAACAGGCACCCATCCAAAGAAGATATAGAGATGGTAAATAAGCATATGAAAAGATGCTCCACATCATATGTGATCAAGGAAATGCAAATTAAAACAATAATGAGATACCACTACACACCTATTCAAATAGCCAAAAAACACTGACAGCACCAAATGCTAGTGAGGATACGGAGCAACAGGAACTCTCATTTATCACTGGTGAAAATGCAAAAGCGTACAGCCACTTTAGAGGACCAGTTGACAGTTTCTTACAAAACTAAACATGCTCTTACCGTATGATCCAGCAATCACGCTCCTTGGTATGTACCCAAATGAGTTGGAAATGTATGTCCACACAAAAACCTACACAGGATGTTTATAATGGCTTGTCTATAGTTGCCAAAACATGGAGAAAACCAAGATGTCCTTCATTAGGTGAATGGACAAACTGTGGCACATTCAGACAAAGGAATATCATCCAGCACTAAAACAAAATGGGCTATCAAGCCATGAAAAGGCATGGAGGAAGTTTACATGCATAGTACTAAGTGAAACAAGCCAATCTGAAAAGGTTACATACTTTATGACTCTAACTGTGTGACATCCTGGGAAAGCAAAATTATGGAAACAGGAAAAAGATGAATGATTGCCAGAGGTTAGAGGGGAGGGAGGGATGAACAGGCAGAGTACAGAGGGTTTTCAGGCAGTAAAATTACTCTGTAGGATACTATAATGGTAGATATACACCATCATAAATTTGTCCAAACCCATAGGACATCCAACACCAAGAGCAAATCCTAATATAAACTGTGGACTCTGAGTGATAATGATAAATCAATGTAGATGTATCAATGGTGACTGTCAGGCCTCTGAGCCCAAGCCAAGCCATCGCATCCCCTGTGACTTGCACATATACGCCCAGATGGCCTGAAGTAACTGAAGAATCACAAAAGAAGTGATATGCCTTGCCCCACCTTAACTGATGACATTCCACCACAAAAGAAGTGTAAATGGCTGGTCCTTGCCTTAAGTGATGACATTACCTTGTGAAAGTCCTTTTCCTGCCTCATCCTGGCTCAAAAAGCTCCCCCACTGAGCACCTTGTGACCCCCACTCTTGCCCGCCAGAGAACAACCCCCCTTTGACTGTAATTTTCCTTTACCTACCCAAATCCTATAAAACGGCCCCACCCCTATCTCCCTTCACTGACTCTTTTCGGACTCAGCCCACCTGCACCCAGGTGATTAAAAGCTTTATT